>NW_014040925.1:0-141019 GCF_000001405.40 Homo sapiens | reverse complement strand
GAATTCTTTTTCTCAGCGAGGAACATCCCTGAGAAGGAGAATGCGTCCCTGAGGGGAGGCCTCTGAAATGGCCGCTTTGGGGATGGCTATCTTTTACGGTCATAGCTGAGGGATGAAATAAGCCCCAGTCTCCTGTAGCGCTCCCAGGCTTGTTAGGATGAGGAAATTCCTGCCTAATAAATTTTGGTCAGACTGGTTGTCTGCTCTCAAATCCTGTCTCCTGATAAGATGTTATCAATGACAATGTGTACCCGAAATTTCATTAGCAATTTTAATTTCGCCCCGGTCCCGTGGTCCTGTGATCTTACCCTGCCTCCATTTGCCTTGTGATATCTTATTATCTCGTGAAGCCTGTGATCTCTGTGACCCACACCCTATTCGTACACACCCTCCCCTTTTGAAAATCACTAATAAAAACTTGCTGGTTTCACAGCTCAAAGGGCATCACGGAACCTGCCGACATGTGATGTCTCCCCCGGACACCCAGCTTTAAAATTTCTCTCTTTCGTAATCTGTCCCTTTATTTCTCAGACCAGCCGACACTTAAGGAATACAGAAAAGAACCTACGTGAAATATCAGAGGTGAATTTCACCTGATAGAAAAGATTTATAGACTGCTAGCTAAAGAAACAAAATGAGAGAAGATACAAATAATCACAATCAACAAAAACAAAAGTGATGTTATGGCTGATCCCACATAAAAACAAAAGACCCTCAGAGACTATTTTGAACACCTCTCTGCACACAAACTAGAAAACCTAGAAGAAATAGATAAATTCTTGGAAACACACAACCTACCAAGATTGAAACAGGAAGAACTTGAAACCCTGAAGAGACAAATACTGAGTTCAAAATTGGATCAGCAATAAAATCCTATCAAACAAAAAAAAACTCTGGACCAGATGAATTCGAAGCAGAGTTCTACCAGACAGACAAACAGTCAAAGAGCTGAAACCAATTCTACTGAAACTATTCCAAAAACTCAAGGAGGAGGGACTCCTCCCTAACTCAGCTAGCATCACCCTAATATAAAAATCTGGCAAAGACACAGTTAAAAAAAAAAAACTACAGGCCAATACTCCTGATAAACACAGATGTAGACAACACCACACCAGCAAACTGAATCCAGCAGCACATCAAAAAGCTAATCCACCAGAATCAAGTAGGCTTTATTCTTGGAATGCAAGTTAATTCAACATATGCAAATCAATAAATGTGATTCATCACAAAAATAGAACTAAAAACAAAATACATACGATCATGTCAACAGATGCAGAAAAGGCTTTTGATAAAATCTAACATCCCTTCATGTTAAAAACTCTCAACACACTAGGTGATGAAGAAACACATCTGAAAAGAAGAGCCGTCTGTGACAAAACCAAAGCCAGTACCATACCAAATGGGCAAAAGCTGGAAGCATTGCCCTTCAGGACCAGTAAAAGACAGGGATACCTACTCTCACCACTACTATTTAACATAGTACTGCAAGTTCTAGCCAGAATAATCAGGAAAACAAAAGAAATAAAAGGCACCAAGATAGAAAGACAGAAAGTCAAACTCTCTCTCTTTGCAGACAATATGATTTTAAACCTGGAAAACTTACAAGCTTTGCCCAAAAGCTTATTGAGCTGATAAACAATGTCATCAGTGCTTAGGGATACAAAATCAATGTAGAAAAATTAGTAGCACTTCTAAATACCAACAGCATCCAAGCTGAGAGCCCACTCAAGAGCACAATCCCATTCACAATAGCCACAAAAAATAAAGTAAAATACTCCCAAATGCAACTAACCAGACAGCTGAAATATCTCTACAATGAAAAGTACAGTGAGTTGAGAAAACACTACTCAAAAAAGTCAAAGATGAGAAAAACAAATGGAAAAACATTCCATGTCCATGGAGAGGAAGAATCAGTACTGTAAAAATGGCCAGACTGCCCAGAGAAATTTACAGATTCAATGCTATTCCTATCAGACTAACAATGACATTCTTCAGAGAACTAGAAAAAAAATCATTCTTAAATTCATACGAAATGAAAAATATACCAAATAACCAAAGCAATTCCAAGCAAAAAAAAAAAAAAAAGCTGTTACTCAATTTCATGTTGAGTAACTCATCGTGTTACTCAACTTCAAACTATACTACAGATACCAGTCTTCACATCTGTGCCTACAAGATGTCGCTGAGAAAAAGCTCCAGTCCTGGGAAGGGAACCATGTCCGTCTCTGACACAGCTCGGGACAACAGTCCAGGGAGATCTCCATACAGATCATGCCTATATCTTAAGAAGGGAAAACTTAGGGCTGCAACCACTTGGGGAGGAGGTGGGTGCCCTTCATGCAGCCATGGGCATTCCCAGGGTACACATAGATAAGAATGGAGTTGATGGCCCTCACTGGTCAATTACTCTTCTGCAAATCATGTCTGCTTCCCAGAAGAAAACTACAGGCCAATATCCCCAATGACTGTAGATTTAAAAACATATACTACAAGGCTACAATAATCAAAATGGCATGGCACTTGCACAAAAACAGACACATCAACAAATAGAACAGAATAGAAAGTAAGAAATAAGCTGCATGCCTACAACCATCTTCTGATCTTCAATAAAGTAGACAAAAACAAGCAATGAGGAAAGAACTTTCTATTCAATAAGTGATTCTGGGATAACTGGCTAGCTATATGCAGAAGATTAAAGCTGGAACCCTTTCTTACACAATATACAAAAATCAGCTTGAGATAGATTAATGACTCAAATAAAATCTAAAACAATAAAAACCATAGACAAAAACCAAGAAAATAACATTCTGGACATAGGTCCTGACAAAGATTTCTTGATGAAGATGCCAAAATCAATTATGACAAAAACAAAAATTGACACATGGGACCTAATTAAACTAAAGAGCTTCTGCACAGCAACAGAAACTATGAATAGAGTAAATAGATACCCCACAAAACGAAAGAAAATATTTGCAAACTATGCATCCGACAAAGGTCTAATATCTAGAATCTATAAGGAACTTAAAAAAAGAAGTACAAGCAAAAACCAAACAACCCTATTAAAAAAATGGGCAAAAGACATAAAAATGCACTTTCCAAAGAAGACATACACATAGCCAATAAGCATATGAAAAAGTGTTCAACAACACTAATCACTGGAGAAATGCAAATAAAAACCACAATGAGATATCATCTCACAACAGTCAGAAGAGCTATTATTAAAAAGTAAAAATTAACAGATGCTGGTGAGCCTGCAGAGAAAAGAGAAGCTTAAACCCTGCAGTTGGGAATGAAAATTAGTTCAGCCATTGTGGAAAGCAGTGGGAAAATTTCCCGAAAACCTTAGAGCTAACATTTGACCCAGAAATCCCATTACTTGGAATATATATACCCAAAGTGATCTAAATCATTCCCAAATTATCTTATAAAGCTAATATTACTCTAACAATAAAATCTGACAAAAGCAGTACAAAAATAAAATTGATGAATCAATATTGCCCATAAATGTGGTAGTAGGCTGGAAAACTGGCCCACAGAGATATCCAGGTAAAATTTCTGAAATTCATGGATGTTAGCGTATTTAGAAAAAAAAAGCCAGGTGCAGTGGCTCACGCCTGTAATTCCAACACTTTGGGAGGCTAAGCAGGCAGATCACAGGGTCAGGAGATCGAGACCATCCTGGCTAACATGGTGAAACCCCGTCTCTACTAAAAAAAAGCTGGAAATGGCAGCATTTTGATGAGTTTTTATTTTTTATTTTATTTTTTATTTTCAGTATGCACTTATTGGCACTTCTGGGTTGCTATCTTCTCTGACACCTAATCCAGTATATAAGTTGCAAAAATAAAACCAGGGAACTCACCACCATGTCATTCTTCATGTCCTGAGATTCTCAGCCATTCTCATTTCTTTCTTTCTGCCACTTTTCAGAGTCTTCTTATGTTTGCTTTATGTATAATTTCCACAGCTTTTAAAAAATTTGCCCAGATAACTTGTTTTGACAAGTGTAAATAGCAGAAGTGATATATGTCAATTCAAAAATGAAAATTTTAGACAAAGCAAGTAACATCATCACTGCACTTTCGTTTTTCGCAATCTAGTAGGTCGACACCTTCTTCTTATTGATATGTCAACACTTTCTATAAACCTTGAGCCTCAAAGAATAGAAAAAGAAGTGGAATCTGATTTTCCATAGACTATCATATAAAATGAGAATATGTTGTATTTTTAAAAAAACTAGAATTATCTAATACTCTTTAAATTGATTTATCTCACATCACTTCCTTTGCCTACAAATCAAGTTAAACTGTTTGGCAAGGTGTATATCCTTGAGATTATTTATGACAGAAACTCTCAAATCCACTGATGGAATACAAAATGGTAACATCACTTTGGAAACATTTTTCAGTTTCTTACAAAGTGAAACTCATACTTACCATATGATCCAGCCATCTCACTCCTACATATTTGCCCAAAGAAACTAAAAATTTATGTCCATACAAAGGCTTATGCATTAATGTTCATAGCACTTATATTTGTAGTAGCCAAAAGCTGGAAAGGATCCAACTGCCCAATAATTTACTCATTATAACTGTGAACAAGCTGTGATATAGCCAAACAATGCAATATTGCTCAGCAATAAGACTGAATAAACTATTGATATCAACAGCCACATGGATAGATGTCACAAAATTATGCTGCATGACTTAAAGACAAAAAAGTGCATGTGCATAGTGTATGATTTCATTTATATATTATTTTAAAAAATGGAAACTAAACTACACTAGTAGAAAGCAGAGCAGTGATTTCCTGAGGACAGTGGGTAAGGCAAAGATATACCAAGAGAGTGATGATAAAAGGTAACAAAGAAACTTTTAGGGTAATAGATTTGTAATATTAAACATGGCAATTGACAAATATATACATAAATCAAAATTTGTCAAATAATAAGGTTTATGTGTAGTTTACTACATAGCAATTACATCTCAATAAAGTTGATGAAAACCAAACCAAAGAGTTAAAAAGTCTAAGTTGTTAAACTAGTAAATAGAAAATTCTTCCGAAGGTCTGAACTTTTTATTATATCATTTAAGTTATTTCCATCACTTTGGAATCTTGGGTTCTTGCTCATTTTTTAATTGCCTAAAATGTTCCTTACAATCTCCATATTCATATGAGTTTGCAGCACACTTAAAAATAATGTGCAACCAAATTACAGCAAGAACTTTATCATTTTGTCAATATCACAACATAAAACACAAAATGTAAGCAGGTAGCAAAGGTGTTAATGAGATTTTAGAAAATCCATGTATGAAAATAACCTCAAAGCTTTATTGTTATAAAAATTATAGAAGTACAAACATTTGTGCAGCTGTATCAGAATGCAATATGTTGTTCATTTACATCTTAACAGTATTGAATATGTTTATTTTTTAGCTTAAGCAGCCTGGGAGAATTTTCTGGTATTATTTCCTTTTTTTCCCACATCAGAGTAATGTATGAAAATGTACATTTAAGATTATGTTAAATCTAAAAATGCTGCACATAAAGCAAACTACAATAGCAATTTCCTCAAACTATAAAGAATGTAAGTCACATGATTCTTCTGAAATATGTGGCCAGATAGCTGAGAGATACTGAAACACACTACCAAAAACTTTTCTGGTGATTAGGCACCAATCAGTATGAGTTTTTAATACTAGGTGACCATGATATAGTAGAGCTATAAGTAGTACCTAGCAGTGAATGTTATAATTCTCTTCTAAAAGTGTTTTCACTTGGCATCTAAAAATAAGGAATCAAACCCCCTATCTAGACAATAAATAAAGCTCTCAACTCTGACTGATTTGAGTTATAAACATTTTCTTTGAATATCTTCATTAAAATGTATTTGTATCAGAAATATCACATGTATTCATTATTAGCAGTGCTTATTATATGTCCTCTATCATTCTAAGTGCTATCTAGGTATTAATTCCCTCAATCCTTATAAAAATACTATGAGGTAGGTAATAGTACTATTCTAATTTTAACAGAAACATAAACTTTGGCTCACAGAGGCTAATGTAAGAGCTGTTGATGAGTTATTTTTGTGTTTCCTATACTCCAATTTATATGATGAAGTCCTAACCTCCTGTGCCTTATAATGTGAACTTATTTGTAAATCAGACCCTTGCAGAGTTAATTAGTTAAGATGAGATCATACTGGAATAGAATAGGCCCCTAATACTACGTGACTGCTACCCTTATAAAAAGGGAAATTTGGATACAGACACACACACAGGGAGAATGTGAAGATGAAGGCAGAGATGGGGTGTTACAGTAGAAGTCAAGGAAAACAATTCAACTCATAACAATCCCTATCCCTTACATTAACTACCCTGAGACAATGTTTCTGCATCTGGTAAAATTAAAATAATACTATTATAGGTGTCATAGTATTTCAATGAGAATTTCAAATTAATACCTAGATACCAAAGATTGCCAGGAAATCACAAAAGGCTAGGAGCAAGGCATGAAACAGATGCTCCATCACAGCTCTCAGAAGTAACCCATCCCACCAACACTTTGGTTTCAGACTTCTAGCACAAAGAACAGTAAGACAATATACTTCTGTTCTTTAAATTTTCTGGTTTGTAATACTTTATTATTACAGCTCTAGCAAACTAACACAGAAATGAAATCCAGATATCTGGCTCCAAAGTATTACTCTGCTATGTATTCCAAAGACATACTAATTACATTATAATTCTATATAAGAAAGGAAAATATTGAGTTCTAAGAAGAAGGACTTAGAGATGGATGAGAAGGAAAAAAATCTGAAGACAGAAATATATGTACTGAAAATGATAGAGAGTCCAAGCATTCTGAATGAAGAAATCACAAATATCTCGAGTATTGGACATACAGTAGGAGAAAGGAGAGAAGGGGAGCCTGGTGGAATGGAAGAACAATGACATTAAAGGAAGAGTAGAATCAACTTACAAAAACTTTACTTATTTTTCAAATGTGCCTATAAGTTTGACTGTGCCCAAACCCTAGTGTGATGAAAAGTCCAACAAACAGGTGAAAAAAAAATACTTCATTGCAAAACCAGGAGGTGGCCAGAATTACAGTAAATTGCCTCTGTCCCAGAATAGCTCTCAAAAATAACCCCAAGAATGGCTAATTTAAAATCTCAGTCCATTTGACCTGAAAAAGTCAATGACCTGTCCCTCAAATATCTTATATCCAGAAAATAACTTGTTCTGTAAAAATCCGATGTGTCAAAAAAAAAAAAAATCAGTTGACATTTAGTGTTGCCAAAAATAAATCTAAAGCTAACGTAACACTTTTTGTTATTTTGTTTTTGTTTTGGTAGAAAAGCTATTACGTTCTTTCTAGAAGCATTGAAATTTTTCCCTTTGCAGGATAAGCCAATATGTGGACTGTTTATTAACACAAATCTGACAGGTACTTGGATAATGATACTGCTCTGGTTCTACAATGTTGAGTTCAGGCATGTTCTCACAACAAGGCAGTATTACAGTAGAGAGTCTTGAGATGATGATTAAGGATGTTATTCATGGACCATAATGTTGTGTAATGTTTAACTCCTATATTAACGAAACACACAGAGTCTGAGTCAGGTGGTTTTCCAGCACCTATCTGGATTAAGATAGATGATGGACTCCTCCAGCCTAATGTAACTGTAGCTACGGTTGGATCTGACAGGTCCCAAGAATTTTTAAGTGACCTTTGTTATCACCTGAAACTATATATTTATTGGTAAGAATTTTGGAGGGCAAGAAATTCTTCTCTCTCTGGACATACTTGGAAAAGGACTTCCTATTATTTTCCTTCACTAAAGAAAACTAACATTCTTGGACGCAAAGCTGGCAATGGTTTAAGTGTGAATAAAGGTGAATAGTATCCATACTAGTGAATAGCCCTATCTTAAATTGTAGCTCTACTATAAATCTTCTAATGACTTATAGAGTGTCTCTCACAGGAAGAAAAATAATCATTATTGAATGTAATTGAAGAAATGCCTCTCTTAGAAGAAAAACAACAACAACAACAAAACATTGTAACCGGGTAAAGTTTTTAAAAATGTCTTAACCAATTTCCATATTTTTGCCTACAGAAAGAAATATTAGATCCCAAATAGCATAATTGTCCAGTGCTCAACTTTTTGTTTGAACCTTTATTTCTAGTTTTATATAGTACTAAAAGTTCATAAAATGCCACATCTGTTCAGTAAAGTAATGACTTTTAAGCATACTCATGTGAGATTTTTTTTCAAATAACATAGCTGAATACCCTAAATAATTATTTTAGTAGCTTTGGATATTGAGAAATTAGTCTTTCTATTTTCTTTCTTTCTTTTTTTTTTTTTTTTAAGGTGGAAAGTATTTTTTTTTTTTCGTTTGTTTGTTTTTTTTTTTTTCGTTTGTTTGTTTTTTTTTTTTAATTTTTTTTTTTTATTATACTCTAAGTTTTAGGGTACATGTGCACATTGTGCAGGTTAGTTACATATGTATACATGTGCCATGCTGGTGAGCTGCACCCACTAACGTGTCATCTAGCATTAGGTATATCTCCCAGTGCTATCCCTCCCCCCTCCCCCGACCCCACCACAGTCCCCAGAGTGTGATATTCCCCTTCCTGTGTCCATGTGATCTCATTGTTCAATTCCCACCTATGAGTGAGAATATGCGGTGTTTGGTTTTTTGTTCTTGCGATAGTTTACTGAGAATGATGGTTTCCAATTTCATCCATGTCCCTACAAAGGACATGAACTCATCATTTTTTATGGCTGCATAGTATTCCATGGTGTATATGTGCCACATTTTCTTAATCCAGTCTATCATTGTTGGACATTTGGGTTGGTTCCAAGTCTTTGCTATTGTGAATAGTGCCGCAATAAACATACGTGTGCATGTGTCTTTATAGCAGCATGATTTATAGTCCTTTGGGTATATACCCAGTAATGGGATGGCTGGGTCAAATGGTATTTCTAGTTCTAGATCCCTGAGGAATCGCCACACTGACTTCCACAATGGTTGAACTAGTTTACAGTCCCACCAACAGTGTAAAAGTGTTCCTATTTCTCCACATCCTCTCCAGCACCTGTTGTTTCCTGACTTTTTAATGATTGCCATTCTAACAAGGCTACAGTAACCAAAACAGCATGGTACTGGTACCAAAACAGAGATATAGATCAATGGAACAGAACAGAGCCCTCAGAAATAATGCCGCATATCTACAACTATCTGATCTTTGACAAACCTGAGAAAAACAAACAATGGGGAAAGGATTCCCTATTTAATAAATGGTGCTGGGAAAACTGGCTAGCCATATGTAGAAAGCTGAAACTGGATCCCTTCCTTACACCTTATACAAAAATCAATTCAAGATGGATTAAAGATTTAAATGTTAGACCTAAAACCATAAAAACCCTAGAAGAAAACCTAGGCATTACCATTCAGGACATAGGCGTGGGCAAGGACTTCATGTCCAAAACACCAAAAGCAATGGCAACAAAAGCCAAAATTGACAAATGGGATCTAATTAAACTAAAGAGCTTCTGCACAGCAAAAGAAACTACCATCAGAGTGAACAGACAACCTACAACATGGGAGAAAATTTTCGCAACCTACTCATCTGACAAAGGGCTAATATCCAGAATCTACAATGAACTCAAACAAATTTACAAGAAAAAAACAAACAACCCCATCAAAAAGTGGGCGAAGGACATGAACAGACACTTCTCAAAAGAAGACATTTATGCAGCCAAAAAACACATGAAGAAATGCTCATCATCACTGGCCATCAGAGAAATGCAAATCAAAACCACTATGAGATATCATCTTTCTATTTTCAATAGCTTAAGATAAATGAGAAAATAACTTTCATGAAGTTAGATTTTTCTTGATGAAAAAACATATATGCAAAAATAGCTGCAAATATGAAATAAATTTGCATTTGCAATTGCTTAATATATAAATAAGTAAAGACTTCTTCAAAATTAAACCATAATAAAGAAATCTCTCAATATATATTATGGAAAATGGTAAATTAGAGCTAATATTTATTCATGCTCACATTTTCTATATTGAAATATACTTAGAGAAAACGAGCCTATTTCTCTTAAGACTATTAGCACATACATACAAATTATTCACTGAAGCTATGGTAGAAATGTATGATTAGTGAGACTTGTTTTCAAATGTTTCGATGGAATGATTCCATTGAGAAGAATGTGTATGGTGGGAGTGTTTTAGACACACACAAAAAATGAAAGAAATAAGAACATCATGAGCAAAATGACAAATATCCATCAGCTTAAGCTGGTAGTTTTGACTAAAATTTTAACTAAAAACAATACAAAACGAAGACAAGAATAATTAAATATGTTCCTTCTTTACCTTGATGCATAGGCTTTGTAAGTCCTTGGGCTCATTTTGTTCACATATAGTAATGGTAATTTTCATATTTAGCCAGAAAGTTAATGAATGTGGCTGATGATAAGAAAGCCACTACAGTGGCTAAAGAAGACTAAATAGAAGATGAGCATTTTTCCCCTTAATACTTTACCAAATACCACAAATATTCTACTTCTGTAATATTTATTTTTCCTTTAATTTAGAGTGGGATAGAGAGACTTTTGTTGTCTGCTCAAAATAACTCTTACAGCTCTCTTCACTGCTGATATTTAACAGTAGCTCTTAGAAACTCTAAAAGCTGTAAGCTAACAACGTGGAGGCTATATATATTAATTGTCACGTTACAACCTTGTATGGCAACATTGGATGACTTTCATGCCAGCCTGCATTCATCTCTTTGGCTGTCAATAGGCCTTGATGGAGCTTTTAGACACTTATTAACATTTTATTGTGTTTTCCATTTACTCAACAATTACACAGTAATTGATTTAAAATTAATTATAATCTTATTAACATTATAATCTAACTAATTAGTACAACCAAATAAAATGCAAACAGTTATCCTGCTCTGTCTTTCTTTATTATTTGTTTATTTTATTTCTAATATTTTATTTTGGTTGTTGATGTTGTTTTAGATTTCTACATTATTTCCAATGATAGACAAAATGGTTTACTCCAGCTCATTATTTTAATGTGATATTCTCTAAAACTAAACTTTTGCCAGAGTATCCATGAACCTGAACAATCTAGTACTGCTAAGTTATTGAGGGATCGTCAATGGAAATACAAATGTGAAGTTTTCTCACAAAATAGAGTATGAATTTCAGAATAAAGGTAAAACCTTTTAAAAATATTTATAGAAATTTAACTATTGTGAGCCAAATAGAGTGAAAAGCATCCATTTATTCAGAAAAATTGGCTTGGAATTCCAGATCAGCTCCTTGTTAGATATGAGTCATGGGCAAACCACTAACCTATCTGTGATTAAGTTTAGACATCTGCACAAGTGGGGGTAATATGCTTGTGTTACTTACTTCTTACTGCCGTTAGGATGATCAATGGAGAAAACGAATGCAAGGTCCTTCTAATTCTAAAAAAAGTATGTACTAAAAGTCGTTAGGGGCTTTGAGTAATGCCTTTGATGAATCAGTTATATTGTTTTCTTCTGCAGAATGCCTTAGATATATTCAAAAACCTGGTATGCCAGGTGAGATGAAGAGACATCTTTAGCCCAGAGAATGTCTCAATAAATCAAATGATAAATGTACAATGATAGAATATATTCCAGTGTGACAAACATTTTCCCTAGTCTATTGATTTTTTAAAGCAGTTTACTATTCTTTAGGTACAAGATGGAGTTAAGACTTTAGAATCATCTTCTTAATTAAATAAGAGTACCAAGTTAATGAGGATGATGTAGTGAGTATGAGTAATTTTCACTTTTTTCATTACATTTAAGAAAAATTCTTATAACTTTTGTTACTTTTTAATAAAAATATAAACAGAAGTGTAAGGAAAAGGAGAATAATATGTAGGTTATATAAATTTTACTAAGAGAACTTATTTAACAGAAATCAGAAAATCTTTAATTTACCCTAACGATACCTTCCCAAATGGAATCTTGTGATAAATAAATAAATAAATGTTTTAAGTATTTGTAAATATTTTAAAACTATAAAGATAATTTAGTACATTTATACATTAACCTGAAATGACATTTTAAATATTATTTTAGGTAAGCACAATAACTCTGATATTTAAAACATTTATAGACATTTTTGTCAAGATGCAGAAAAAAAGTCAGAAGGGAAGCATGGTAATCTTATTAAAATTCAGAATTTTCTTGAAAGTAAATTCTGAAATATCAAATAAAAAATGAAAGTAATGTCACACCTTATTTCTTTGCTATACTCTAATCTCCAGTATTGACATTCTGTGCTATCATTTATGGTAATTATTGATTAATGCAATATATCTGACTATTTAATCTTTATTTTTCCAGTAGTTATTGCCAAGGAAACAATATTCATATATAAACAATTTATACAAATATATAAAATTTTGACTTGTTTTTCATGAAAGACAAAATAAATGTTTGGAGGACTAAATTAGAATAATTGGAGGTATTTTGAGAAAGTACATTTAATTATGAAGAATTTATAAACAAAGAAATAAATTTCAGGGTTTAGTTCAATATAGATTATTTGAATCACATCAGCTATATTCTTACCAGAGAGTAGTGAAGGCATTATTTTCTTATAACTAGAAGAAAAGAAAAAGAAAAGGAAGAAGAGAAAATAACTTAATAGAAATCCATTGCAAAATTCTTATAACATAAACTGAATATCGATATGCTTCATTCTAAATCTTGAATTACTATTTTTCAGAAATCTTAAGGTTTGTTTTCAAATGGCCTAAACAGTCAATGGAAGTATTTATAAAACAATTAATTCTTTTGTTGAATGTAACATTGTATACCTGACCTTATAAAAATAATAAGTAAAAATATGACTCTTGTACTTTCTTAATTTATTTTCCATTGTGGACCAAACAAACTTCAATTCATGTGAAGATTTTGTGTTAATCACCTCAGCTAATAAGTCTATAAATAAAATTATTAAAAAGTAATGATTTTAATATTTATATTTTGTAATAGCTAAAATCTGAATGCAAATGTGAAGCCAGAGACAGAGGACCAAAACTCTTGGAAATCTCTGGTACAGGTATGAAATGAGAGCTCATGAAGAAGTATTCTTGGGCTCGTTACTGAGGGATGCAATTCAGGTCAAAACCCAGAGAGACACTCTATACCCATGATGCTTTATAGTTAATAATAAAAAAAATTACAAGGGATCAAAAAGCAACAAACTACTTTTAATAGGAGCTTTGTGTCCAGGGTGCAGCTGGAGAGTCAAAAGGAGCCTGTAGACACGAGATCAGCTCCATATGAATTCATAAAACAGCACCAGCATCAGCCAGAGACTGAGTTTCTAAGTCGACACAGTTATGCTTAGCCACCTTCTTGGTAGTTAACCTGAGATAGCTGTGAGGAACACCCAGTAGACAATGATTTTATTCAATAGAGAGGTTTTTTTAAAAAAATTAAAAATTATGATTAAATTAGTTCACTGCTGAAAAATGGAAATGATATAGGATCAAGTAATGATTCATAGGCCATAGAAACTTTATCAGTATTTGTGTATGTAGCCAAAATATACACCAAAGTAACACACCAAAATTTTACAGACCCAAATGTCACACTGGGACTGGCACAACACCTAAAAATTAATGTGATGCTTAACTGAGCAGGGTTTTCTGTGGCTCCAAGGACCACTTTTATTTTTCAGCAATAAATAAAAAGTCACCCTCTGTTTTGTTAATATCAACTTTTAAAATAAATTACATTTTATTTACTACTATGTTAGCAGGCTTATTTTAAACATCATAAAAATTTCATTCAAGAAGAAGAGACAAAAAGTTTTATTCAAATTGATTCTGTAGCTTCACAAGCCTCTATGTTTTATTCTTAGACCTCCTTCTAGCATGCTGTATCCTTGCACAGCCAGAGACTAAAGTAGTACCAGTGTTCTTTCAAGCTTGCTCACAGCTGAGATGTCAACGGCCAATTTAATTCTAGTGATAAAGTGCATGAGCTTTGCTATCATTGCTAGTCTTTTCATTCGAAGAACAAAAATAAATATGTGATCTCAGTGTTATTTTGTCTATTCTAAACCTCTGATATGGTTCCAACACAAGTGCAAAATATGTTGTATTGACTTAAAAGGAACTGAATATTTCCACACTTCTTGATTTGTGTGAAATGTCAACTATTGTAAACTGCCTATCTGCAATCTGCTCAACACAGAATCCTATCTGGATAGAAACATTGAAGAAACAGGTGTTTGTTCAACTAGATCAAATATTGGAAGCATGACATTGCTGCACATTTAAAACAAAATATAAGCCCTATGGCAGTATAGTGATCCCAGTAGATGTAGAGATACCAGGTGTTGAAAGAAGGTTTCATATTGTTCCCGTTCCCTAAAATAGCCTTAATTCTGTGTTACTGGTGAACTTTTACTCACCAATTTTACTTTTAATCATTCAATTGTAAGATTAAATATGTCTTCTACAGAAAGTCTTCCTGATTCCTGTTAGCATCTCCTGAAGTACTCTATTTTTCTTGTTGTTAATAAAGTTTATTAATAATTTGTAATGTTATATTAGTTTTGGTGGGCATTTTGTGTGTGTGTCTTCACTAAATCGTAAGCTCTATCAGGTGAGGTTAATATATAAATGTTCACTGTGCTTAATTCAGCTCCAAGAAAGAACCATGCACATTCTAAGCTGACAATAAATATTTTGGCCAAATAATTGCAGCCATTAGACCTATACTGAGCTTTGAGATGCTTTAACTAGTATCTCAAGAGGACAGAGTAACACTAGCTATGTTAAGATATACATGCTGATTTCAATGAGTTACATTATTTATAAAATTTGTAGAAGAATTCTAATAGTAGATAAATTGTTTCTTTTGGAAGACAAAGGTTGACTCCGATGTGAGAATTTGACCGGTGTATCCCTCCAAAAAGCTGACTTGTTCGACTTACCAGACAAAACAGGACGTGTCCTTCAAATACATTGAAAAATTAAGCCTAAGAGAACCCATTCTCATTTAGTCTTGTATTCTGACCTCTTTTTTATCTCTGGAAACAGGGATATTTGAGATTGTAAAAAAATAAGAATGTATTAGTCTTTGTGGAATTCAAAGAGGCTCTTTAGATTTCCAAGAATAAAAGGCTTCAGCAGAACTTCTTAGAGTATTTATTATGTGTCAGTATTCAAAACCAGCAAACTTCTACCAGCTGTACTACTTTGACTTTAATGTAAGAGAAAAGCTATTTTGCATGACAAATTATACTGTTGTAACCAATATTATAATTAGGATAGAAAGCAGATACATTAGATTCACATTTCCAAAAAAGCTACCGAAGATTAATTACAGTCTATTAAAATTCTCAGTTCATCATCATTTACAGTTTTTTCTCTTGATGCCAGAATGGAAGGATTCCAATATATTGGTGAGATGAATCTAGTATGCACTAATCTACCATGCTAAACCCATTCAAACTTAAGGACCCAAATGTGTTATAAAGCATAATTACTTGAGGGTTAAAATCTTAAGCAACACTGAAATCCAAATTAACATTGCCAAGGATCATATATAAATAGAGAATACAATCCAGAAGAATCCTTACAAATAAGGCCTTGTCTTTAATCCAAAATCACAAAATCTACAAAATTATATGGTTTATGTTGCCTATTATAGTTTAAAATGGATTCTTCTGAATTAATTTTTACGACATTGAAAAACTACTCACTGTCATATGTTTATTCATCTAATATTAGCTTTTATGTTAGCTGGCAGATGTCACAATAGAATGTCATCTAAATTTTCTATCCAATTATGCATGCAAATTCAGATAATCCAGCAAGAATATTTTTAATATAAGTGTCATATTGATGCAGTTTTTTTATTGTCATTAGACTAATTAATATAAATGTATATAATGCCATTTATTATACAAATTCCAAATACCAAGTTGTCAGTCACTTAAATATAACAATAATGGTAGTACAATTTGTTTGATCTTATTCAAAACTAGAATCTTAGATTTCAGAGTCCACTGACCTTTTTTAACAATAGAACAGTGCTTTTTCAAAGGTAATAATGAAAGTCTTCCTTGTGAAAACTACATGTGAAAACAAGAACAGTCAAAACCAGCAGTGAAAAATACTACTTCACCATCAAGAAAAGCATTCTAAAATAAAAACTTCACTTTCAGTAAATATCTCAGGTTAGGTTTTGGAAATCCTGGTTTGCTTTCTTTATACAAACAGAGGATGTGAGCAAATTAAACCTACTCTGTCCTTCTCAGCTCATATGCACTGCATATGACCCACGCCTTCTGACACAGGCACTTCATTACTTTTCTTACTTATCTTTAATACCCATAGCTTATTTTATCTTAGAATAATTATAGCTTAGTGATCAGCTAATTAGTTTTAGTCATTATCATCTTCACAGGATGTTTGTGGAGTATTATGTCTGAGTGATTTAATATGCAGGCTTTATGAGCACTCTCTTGCAAGAAACATACAAAGCCGTAGAATAATGAAAGCAAATGTCATTTTACGACCATGAAAATCACTTTATTTTTTTACCCAGAGTTATCAGTCCAAATAAAGTTATATATGTAAGAGTCAAAAGAATAAATATCAGCTTTAATCTTTAAAAACATAATATCTGTAATATCTGTATTAATGTGTAATGCTCTGGTTTCCACATAGTTTTCACTATATATGCTCTTTGTTTTCAGAACGTTAGAACTTTTTAACTTGTACTTTCATTCTAAGTCAGTCAAGGAATTAATTATGTTACTGGAGAAAGAGTTGTAGATGTTAGAAAAAAATTAGTTAAACCTGGAGTTACCAGGCAACCTTAAGTAAAATGCTTAATAACTTTGACTTCAATAACCTCATCTTAAAATGGGTCAAATAGTTTCTCCTCTGTCTCAGCATGGATGATTTTAGATTTCAAAGAGAAAAGTCGTATCTTGAAGATAGTCTGAAAATGGTTTACATGAATGTGCATTATTTGACCCTTACTCTATAAATTATATATATATAATATATATGAATATATCATTTATCTACTAACATGATTGGTGTTACCATATCTTAGATCCCTAAAGAGTCAGCTTAACTTGGTTCTAAAGTGAATATTTCCATTAGAGATTTAGATAGAATTAGGTGATCAAGAATGATAATCGCATTTGCCGTAATTCTGATCTGTGGTTTCACATTTTTTTCAAATAGATACAAATTTTTTAAATAAAGTGCACATAAAAAATCAAATATTGGTGTGCCCTAAATATTTTTGTAACTCAGATAAGACTAGGTATCTATGGTGAGTCTCTGATTCCACCTAGAGTCCAGTCTCAGCTCATCATCACAACACACACACAAACAAATATGTGACTATATGCGTTGTTTGCAGATAGCACTTTTTTAAGAAGCACAGATCATTTATTGAGCCCTTATGAATACCAGGCACTGTTGTGTGAACATTTACACATATTCTTTAATTTTTACAACAAACTTATGAGTGGATTACTATTATTTTATACTATACTTTATAATGCTATTTTCTTCCTTTATAAGGCTGAATAATATTCTTTTGTACGTATGTACCACATTTTGTTTATCTGTTCATCAATGGACATTTGGGTTGTTTACATCTATTAGTCTTTCATCACTGAATGTCATGTAAGCTGTCATCTTTTCATGCATGGCATTTATTGTCTTTAGGTAGTTTTCTTCTATTCTTAGTTAAGTGTGAGTTTTTTTTATTATTAAGGAGTTTTTAATTTTGTTAAATGCTTTTTCTCTGTCAACTGTGATCATCAAGTCTTTTTTTGTCCTTTATTCTGCTAATGTGGTGTATTACATTTAATAATTTTGTATGTTTAAACATCTTTGCATCCCAGGAGTATATTCAACATGGTTATGGTGTATAATCCATTTAATATAATTTTGAATTTAGTTTGCTAGTATTTTTTTGAGGATTTTTGCATCAATATTAATTAAGAATCCTGGTGTGCTGATTTCATTCTTTATAGTGTCTTTGTCTGCTTTGGTATCACAGTAATACTAGCCTCATAGAATAAACTTGGAAGTGTCCTCTCCCCTTCTAATTCTTTGGAAGATTTTCAGAGAGATCTGGTGTTCTTTTTAAGTGTTAAGGTAGAATTCTCCAGAGAAGTCAACTGGACTGTCTCCTTATTGGCAGGTACTTGATTATCGATTCAATCTCTTTACTAGTTATCGGTTTGTTCTGAATTTTTATTCCTTATGACAGCCTGGTAGGTTGTGTGTTTCTAGAAATTACCTATTTATTCTAGGTTATCCAATTTTTTGGCATACAATTGTTCATAGTGTTCTTTTACACTCATTTTTACTTCTCTGGCATTTATTACAATGTTTCTTATTTTACTTCTGATTTTAATCATTCAAATGTTCTCTTTTATTAGTCAGTCTAGTTATCAGTTTGCCAATACTGTTCATCTTTTCAGAAACCACGTTTTTGTTTCATTGATTTTTTAATTGTTTTACTTTTTTCTGTTAAATTCATCTATAGTCTTTATTATTTTCTTTATTCTGTTAGCTTTGGACGTAGTTGTTGTTGTTGTTGTTGTTTTTCCTATTTCCTTGAAGTATATAAAGTTAGGTTGTTTATTTTAGACCTTCTTTCTTAATGTACATATTTACAGATATCAACTTGCTTCTCAGCACTCTTTTCAATTCATTTCGTAAATTTTTATATGCTTTCATTTTCTTTTGTCTCAAGATATTTTCTAATTTCCCTTGTGATATAATATTTGACTTATTAGTTGTTTAGGAGTGCGTTGTTTAATTTCCACATATTCATAGATACTTGTTTTACTTTTGATACAGATTTCCAGTTTAGTTCCATTGCGACCAGAAAATATATTTTGTATAATTCAAATCTTTCAAAAAATTCGTTAGGACTTGTTTTTTGGCCTAAAATATGGTCTACTCTGGAGAATGTTCCAAGTGCATGTGAGAAGAATGTGCATTATTTTGTTTTTGATTGGAGTGTTCTGTACATGATTATTAGGTAAAATTGGTATATAGTGTTGTTCAGGTTCTCTATTTTCTTACTGATCTTTTGTTGTTCTATCCATTATTGAAAGTGGAGAGGTGAAGCCTCTTACTATTATTGTGTTGCTGAATGTCTCTTTTTATTCTGTCAAAGCTTGCTTTATATATTTAGGGGCTCTGATGCTTAGTGAATAAATTTTTATAATGTTATATCTTCTTAATGAGTTCACCCTTTTATCATTATATTAGATTGGCACAAAAGTAATTGCGGTTTTTGCCATTACTTTTAATGACAAAAACTGCAATTACTTTTGCAACAATCAAATATAATGTCTTTTTTGTTGCTCGTAACAGTTTTTAACTTTCAGTCTATTTTATGTGACATTGGTATAAGTATTCCTAATCTTTTTTGGTTACCATTTGCGTGGGATATCTTTTTTCATCCTTTTTCTTTCAGCTTATGTGTGTGTCCTCAGTTAAAGTGAGTCTTCTGCAGATAGCACATAGTTGTATTCCCTTTTTTACCCATTCTGCCAATCTATAGCTTTTGATTGAGGAATTTAATCATTTTCACTTAAAGAAATTATTAATAGAGAAGGATTTGCTAAGGACATTTTGTTATTTTTTTGTACATTTTTTAGTTTTTTGTCCTTCATGTCTTCTGCTACTGCCTTTCTTCGTGTTTCTTTGATTTGTTTTGTAGTGACTTGACTTGAATTCCTTTTCATTTTCTTTATATATAATTCATAGATTTTTTTTCTTTGTTACCATTTCAATTGCATAAAACATTTTAAAGTTTAAATTCTACTCCTTTACAGTACCAATCCCCCCACACTTTGTTATTGATGTCACAAAGTACATTTTCACATATTGCATACACATTAGCAAAGATTTATAGTTATTTGTGTTTGTATTATTTAAATTCTATACAAGCATTATAAATAAGTTTATGTAGTGAAATTACATAGTGCAAATTACTAAATTTTTCACGTCCTTACCTACAGCTGTGTTTTGTATTTTTAATTTTCTATTATGTCACGAAAGATACTTCAGGTTGGGTGTGGTGGCTCATGCCTGTAATACCAGCATTTTGGGAGACTGATGGGGGTGGATTGCTTGACGCAAGGAATTTGAGACCAGCCTGTGCAACATAGAAAACCCTCCCACCACATGAGATTGGGAGGACAACGCTGCAGTGAGCTGTGATTATGCCATTGTACTTCAGCCTGGGCAGCAGAATAAAACCCTGTTTCAAAAGAAGAAAAGCAAGAAAGCAAAAGAAAGAGGAAAGAAAGAAAGGAAGAAGAAAGAAAGAAAGAAAAAGAAAGGAAGAAAGAAAGAAAGAAGAAAGAATAAAAGAAAGAAAGAAAGAAGAGAGAGAAGGAAGGAAGGGAGGAAGGAAGGAAGGAAAAGAAAGAAGAGAGAGAAGGAAGGAAGGAACGAAAAGAAAGAGAGAAAGAAAAAGAAAAAGAGAAAGAAAAGAAAAGAAAGGAAGCAGGCAAAGATAGAAAAAAGATATCTCAACCCCTGTAAACCTTATTTCCCCATGTTTTCTCATAATAAATTTCCTTTCATTGAAATATTCTGAGAATGCTTTTAATTCCTTGAAAATTGAGAGTCCACCTAATACATAAAATATTTTTCTAGTATTTTTTTTCCAGTAGACTGGCTTAAAAACAATGAGTAGAATAAATACAGAATAGTTTTAGTCTATCATTGCCATAGTCAATATTAAACTTGGTCTTAATTTGAAAACCTAATCCATTAAAAGTACCACAAGCCTTTGAGAAGAAACTGAAATAGTAAACCACTGCTTTAGTTTAGAAGTTTAGCTGATAAGAAACACAATCAAAATGCTCAACCTTGACACCTAAGATAGGAAAGGTGAGAGGAAAGTCCCTGAAGTACCACAGGTTTGCTTCCTTCTAAGTATATTCTCCGATAACTATCAAGCTTAGGGGTTAGAGGGGTAAAAAGAGAGCTGAGAAATATTTGAATCTTCAATTACAAATCCTAGAAATAGGAAATAATGCACTGAGAGGGATTTTTTGGTAGGAGAAAGTAAATCAATAGGAAAAAATTAACTCTGTGCAACTACTTTTTCATTTGTGAGTATTAACTTTTGTTTTTATAGGTTTTTCCTCTGAAAAAGAAGAACGCCCTTGGGGCACTATAATTTGTGCAAGTTAACTGGATTTTTTAAATATAGTATTCAGAGGACAGTATCTTGAAAATAAATTTGTATTCAGAATAGTCATCTTCCAAGTGGAAAATTAAAACTCTGTAATTGAGAAATAAAACTGCCATGAATAAACATACCAAAACACTTACAGAAAAAATAAATAAATCTTTTTTGGGGTGAAGTTTCTGCTTTTAAGATTAATGTGTATGACTGTGATCTGTCCTAGTAGAGTATCAACAGTTTTGCCTAAATGTCTAATTTTCTTAACTTACAAATTTCACTATTTTCAGATGATCCAAAATACAACAGATAGGTCTTGGGATAATTCCACTAAAGTGTGAAATAATTACCTTCTGTGTTTCAGACATGTTTAGGGAAGAATTTAACCATAATGGCACAGACCAATTAAAATAAAAAAAAAAAGAGGTTAGCAATAAAACCCAGGTTCTCTAGGGCTCCAAGACTCATAAAAAGAAAATCTCTTCTCTGGTTTTGTTTGAAGTCATGCTTTTCTAGTTTCTGAGCAGAATGGGTGAGAGTAGAAAAGGGAAAAAAATCAAACTTTAAAAAAAAATAATGCCCTTATGAGATTACTGATGGTAAATATTTTCATATTTTTTAAAATAAATATTTTGAAAGGAACTATGAATTTATTTTAAAAGGAGAACTTGAAAAAGATAAAATAGAAGGAAGGTCTATATGATAACCACTGTTGTTAGGAGCTGGTGCTGTGGACATGGGAAAGGCAGGGTGCCAGACCACAGCATGGCATTGGTGCCTTTTAAACAGCTGCATAGCCACTAAGCATTTCCCCTAATAAACAGGGGTCTGTAAAGGGAACCTAGCCTTCTTGTCCATCAGAGACAACGGGCTTTTCTCAGAACTGACAATATAATGGTGAACTATAAAGGGACAACACACAGCCTGAAGGAGCTGATGTCTTCTATTCTTAAATACAGGTGTTAACCAGACAGGAAAATTTAAGCTTCTAATATTATCACTCCCCAAACAGATAGATAATTTTAAATTAGGGATCATATGAGCCCATGCAATCTATCATCTAAAGGTGATTAAGAATAAATTACTCTTCTGTTTCTGGCCAATATGGAGTAATAGAGAACAAATGTAACCTCTCACCTAAAACAATGCAAAAATCCAACAAAATACATGAATTAATAATTTTCAAGATATTGGATATTACACAACAAACAAAAAGGAGAAACAAATGAGGTGAACTCTATGATTATCTCAGCGTACTGCCTTGGTGAGTTTCTAGGGCGCAGTGCAAGGAAGAAGAAGCCAGACAGAGTCCAGCAGTTTCCATAGATGAAAATGGGAATTCTGGGGAGACCAAGGAGAATAGAATACACAGAGAAGAGTAAACAGGACAAGAGAGGGAAGTGAAAAGAATTGCACAGGGTTTCCCTGAGGGGTTCACTTGAGTACTTGTCAGTACATGCATGTGAGGAAACTACCCAAGGCCAGGGCCTCCTGAAAGGACTGGAAGAAAAATACCTTGCAGTTCACTTGGGGATGCTAGTACTTAACATTCCCGCAAGTCAGAGTAGACAGTCCCATAATTTACAAGGCATTGAGTAGAACACACAGGACATTCAGCCACAGTAAAGGGAAAAAATTAGCCTTAGACTATATAGTGCTCTGGTACAACTTAGTAAATCATAGATTAAAACCCCAGAATAATGAAAATATTATTAATTGACTTTACCATGTCCCAGAACAAAGCTCAAGAATTTTTATAGTATAGAAAAGGTAAAATTCACAATGACTAGTCTCTAATAAACGATTACCAGACATTCAAAGAATTGGGTAAACATGAGTCATATTGAGTATAATAATCAATCTGAACAGACTGGCATATTTAATATAATTAATAGAAAAAGACATTAAAACAATCAATATAACTGGTTGCCATCTGTTCAAAAGTAGAAACAGTGAAGATATTAAAAAGCCCTAAATTAAAATAATAGAGATGAGATATGAAGAAAAAAATAATAAACTTCATGAGAATAATGGAAGAATAGACACTGCAATTGAAAACATAAATGAAATTGAAATAATAGCAATAGAAACTATCTAAAATAAAATTCGCAGGAAAATAACCTGAAGGAAAACAAAAGAATGCATTATCAATTAACTGTGGAAAACCATTAAATGGGTCCCTGGAATATAGGAGAGGGATGGGGTAAAAAAAAAAACAAAATTTGAAAAAATAATGTCCCAAAATTTTCAAACATTATGAAAACCCAGTATCTAAATAGCTAAAATAGCAAAAAGCCAAGTAGTTAAATAAACATCAAACAGAAAATTTTAAAGGCAAACCGGGGTTGGTGAGAAAAGGTGCATCACATATAGAGAAATAAAAATAAGGGTGGATGTTTATTTTTATCATGGCAGTGCAATCCGGAATAAATTTAAAAAAGCACTATCTTTACAATGTTGAGAGAAAGAAAGCTATTAATTTTATACTTGGTAAACTATTTTTAAAATACACATGCAAAACATGAACTTTTTCAGCATGGAAACACTCAGAGAATTCTTCATGGGCAGAACTGTGCTAAAATATTAAAGTATATATTTTAGGCAGATGGAAAAGGATACAAAGTGGCAATCTAAATCTACATAAAGGGTGAGAAGTTTCAGAAATGGTAGCCACTTAGTAAAACATAAAAAATCTTTGTATCATACTAATGGAATTTATTTTAAAAACAAATTACTGTTTAAAGAAAAATAACAAAAATTTGTAGAGCTTATAACATATATAGGAATTTTAAAAAAATTAAAATAGCATAAAAGCCAAGAGGGGCAAAATGAAAGTATATTGCATATTTAACTACAGGAGAAGCCTGTAGTTCTCCAGACTCCAGAATGGTGTAACAGCTTGCACTACATGCCTGGAAAAGCCACAGGCACTCAACGCCATCCTGTAGAAGGACCTGTGGGGGCTATATCCTGCACAGCCACAGAGGTAGAGCTGCCCAAGGCTGTGAGATCCATTCCCTTGCATCATTGTGGCCTAGATGTGAGACATGGAGTCATGGAGTCAAAGGAGATTATTTTTAAGCCTTAAAATTTAATGACTGCTCTGTTGGATTTCAGACATGCGTGGTACCTGTAACTTCTTTGTTTTGGCCAATTTCTCCCATTTGGAATGGGATTATGTACCCAATGCCTGTACCCCCATTGTATCTTAAAAGTAACTAACTTGTTTTTGATTTTACAGGGTCATAGATGGAAGATACTTCGCTTGTCTCAGATGAGACTTTGAACTGTGGACTTTTGAGTTAATGCCGAAATGAGTTAAGACTGAGGGACTGTTGAGAAAAGATACTTATATTTTGTAATGTGAGAAGGACATGAGATTTGGGAGGTTCAGGGGTGGGAGGATATGGTTTAGATTTGTGTCCCCACCCAAATGTCATGTCAAATTGGAGGAGGGGCATGGTAGGAGGTGATTGGATTGTGTGAACATATTTCCACCTTGTTGTTCTCATGATAGAGAGTGAGTCAATTAAAACTTTTTTCTTCATAGATTACGCAGTCTTAGGTATTTCTGTATAGCAGCATGAGAACAAACCAATACACCACTCCTCCCTCTTCCCCCCTGGCAGCTGTAGCATGATGCAAAAAAGTTTTTGTGCACTGGGGAGAGGGAAACCTCAGCAATTGTGATGCAATGAACGCAGAGCTACTCTGTTACAGCAGAAAAAATATACTGGACCAAACTGATGCCAGACCATGGAGGGTGCATTTAAACCAGTCCTAGCCAGAGAGGAATCACTGCTCCCAATGTTCAGAACTTGAGTTTCTGCAAGCCTCATCACAGCAGGCTAAAGTGTCCTGAGGTCCTAAATAAACTTGAAAGGAAGTCTAGGCCACAAGGACTTCAACTCTTAGGCAAGTCATAGTGCTGACCTGGGCCCAGAGCCAAAGGACAAGCAGGGGGCATGCAACCCTACTGAGACACCAGCAGGAATGGCTAAAGGAATTCTGGCATCAACCCTTTATTAACCCCAAGCTATATAGCTTACAGCTATGAAAGAGATCCCTTCTTACAGCTTAAGGAGAGGAGAGGAAAAAGTGGGGAGGAATTTGTCTTGAATCGTAGATACCAGCTCAGCCACAGCAGGATAGGCCAATGGTTAGAGTTGTGAGGCTCCCTTTCTAGAAGACATTTCTAAACACACCCTAGGAAGGAAGAGAACCTGCTGCCTGGAAGGGAAGAACCAGTCCTTGTAGGTTTCATCACTTGCTAACAGAAGAGCTGTTGGACCATGAAAAACCAGTGGTGATACATAGGTACTACATCAAGGGCCTTGGGTAAGACTCTGAGACTTGCTGGCTTGAAGTGAGACTCAGCACATTGCCTGTGGTGGCCACTGGGCAAGATTTCTGCTTGAGAAAAATGGTGAGAAAAGTAAAGGGAACTTTGCCTTGCACCTCAGGTACCAGCTCAGCCACAGAGGAGTAGAGCACCAAGTGGGCTCTTGGGGTCCCTGATTCCAGGCCTTGGCTGTTGGATGACATTTCTGGACATGCCCTGGACCAGAGAGGAGCTCACAGCCTTGAAGGGTGAGTCCAAATCCAGGCAGCATTTACCACAAGCAGACTTAAGAGACCTCGGGCCTTAAGAGAACTTTGATGGTAGCCTGGCAATACCCCTCTTGGCCTGTGGTGGCAGTGGCCATGGAGTGAGGCTCCTCTGTCTTTGGAAAGGTAGGAAATATGGGAAGGACTGCATCCTGTGGTTTGAGTGCCTGCTCAGCTACAATACAATAGAACACCAGGCAGTCTTCTAAGGTTTTTAATAGCTGGTCTCCAGTTGCTAGGTGGCAACTCTGAAGCTGTCCAGGGCCTAGAGAAACTCATCATGCCAAAGGGAGGGACATAGGCCTGGCTGGCTTTGCCGGATGCCAGTGTAGAGCACCACGGCTTTGAGAGAACATAGGTAGTAGCCATGGAGTGGTTAACACAGGCTTATGTGAAACCCAGTGCTGTTCTGGATTCAAGTCTGACCCAGTAGAGTCCTAATGGTAGTGGCAACAGAGGTACTTGTATCACTAAACCCCCAGCTCCAGGTGACTCAAACAGAGAGAGAGAGACTCTATTTATTTGGGAGAAAGTAAGAGAAGATAACAAGAGTTTCTACCTGGCAATCCAGAGAATTCTCCTGAAACTTATCCAAGACCATCAAGGTGATACTTCTACGAGTCTGCAAGAAACACCGCAGTAATGGGCATGGGGTGCCCCCTAAAGCAGGTACACTTAGGTTACAACATCCAGGTCCTTTTGAATATCTGGAAAGCCTTCCCAAGAAACATGGGTACAAACAAACCCAGATTGTGAGGACTACAATAAACACCTCACTCTTCAATGCCCAGATTCAGATGAACATATACAAATATCAAGATAATCCAGAAATACGTGTTCTCACCAGATGAGCTAAATAAGGCATCAGGGACCAATCCTGGAGAAACAGGTATATAACCTTCCAAACAGAAAATTTGAAACAGCTATGTTGAGGAAGTACAAAGGAATTCAAGTTAACACAAAGAAGAAATTCAGAATTCTATCAAAAAAAGTAACAAAGAGAGAAATGATTTAAAAGAAGCAGAAATTCTGAAGTGGAAAAATGCAGCTGACATGCTGAAGAATGCATCTGAGTCTCTTAACAGCAGAACTGATCAAGCACAAGAAAGAAGTAGTGAGCTTGAAGACAGGCTATTTGAAAATACGCAGTAAGTGGGGGCAAAAGAAAAAAGAATAAAAAACAATGAATCATGCCTACAGGATCTAGCAAATACCCTCAAGAGGGCAAATCTAAGAGTTACTGGTCTTAAAAAGGAAGTAGAGAAAGAGATAGAGGTAGAAAGTTTATTCAAAGGGATAATATCAGAACTTTCCAATCCTAGACAAAGATATCAATATCCAAGTACAAGAAGGTTATAGAATTCTCCAGTAAGACTAATTCAAGACACTAATAATCAGATTTACAAAGGTCAAGATTTACAAATCAGATTTACAAAGAAAGAATCCTAAAAGCAGCAAGATAAGAGAAATAAATAGCGTACCATGGAGCTCCAATATGCCTAGTAGCAGACTTTTTTAGTGGAAACCTTATAGGTGAGGAGAGAGTGGCATGAAATATTTAAAGTGCCGAAGGAAAAAGAAAAACAAAACTTTTACCCTATAATAGTATATCCAGTCAACATATTCTTCAAAGATGAAGAAGAAATAAAGACTTTCCCAGACAAAGAAAAGCTGAAATTTTATTATCACCAGAACAGTCCTAAGAGAAATGCTAAAGAGAATACTTCAATTCATAAGAAAAGAATTTTAATGAGCAATAAGAAATAATATGAAGGTAAAAAACTTATTGGTAATAGTAAGTATGCAGAAAAACACAAAATATTATAACACTGCTACTGTGTTGTGTAAATTACTGATAAATAGAAAGACTAAACAGTAAATCAACAGCAAATAATAGCTACAACAACTTTTCAAGACATAGACAGTACAATAAGAGGTAAATAGAAACAATAAAAAGTTAGAAAGCAGAGAACAAAGTTAAGGCATAAAGTTTATATTAGTTTTCTTTTTGCTTGTTTGTTTACACCAAAAATGTTGTTATCAACTTAAAATAATGGGTTATAAAGCAATATTTTCAAGCCTTATGATACCTCAAACCCAAAACCATACAATGAATACATACACAAAAAGATAAAAAGCAAGAAAACAAATCATATCACCAATAAAAAGCATCTTCATCAAAAGGAAAACAAGAAAGAATGAAGAAAAGACTACAAAAAAACAGAAAAAAATAACAAATGGCAAAAATAAATTCTTATCAATATTAACATTGAATGTAAATGGTCTAAACTCTCAAATAAAAAGACACACAGTGACTGAATAGCCTAAAAAACATGATTGTATTAGTCCATTCTCACATTGCTATAAATAACAACCAAAGACTAGGTAATTTATAAAGAAAAGAATTTTAATGGCTCATGGTTCCACAGGCTGTACAGGACACATGGCTGGAGAGGCCTCAGGAAACTTTCAATCGTGGTTGAAGGAGAAAACACATCTTACCTTGCCAGAGCATGAGGGAGAGAGTGAAGCAGCAGGTGCTACACACCTTTAAACAACCGGATCTCATGAGAACTCACTTGCTATCAGGAGGACAATAAGGGGAAAATCTGCCCCCATGATCAAATAATTTCTCACCAGGCACCTCTCCTAACATTGGGGATTACAATTAGACATGAGATTTGGGTGGCACAAAAATCCAAACCATATCAAATACCCCATGAACTTGTGCCTACAAGAAACACACTTCACCTATGAAGATACACATAGACGAAAAACAAAGGGATGGAAAAGATACTCCATGCCAAGGGGAACAAAAAAAAAATAGGAGTATAGAAGTAGCTGTACTTTTATCAGACAAATAGATTATAAGACAAAAACTCTCAAATGAGACAATGAAGATTACTACATAATGATAAATGGGTCAATTCATCAAGAGAATATATCAATTTCAAATATATATGGGCCCACCTATGGAGAACCCAAATATACAAAGCAAATATTATTAGAGCTACAGTGAGAGAAAGACCCCAAAGAAGAATAGCTGGAGAATTCAACATGCCACTTTCAGCATTGGAAAGATCTTCCAGACAGGGAATGGACAAAGAAACACCAAACTTAATCTGCATTATAGACCAAATAGACATAATATATATTTATAGAACATTTCTTACAAAGGCTATAAAATTCACATTTTTTTTCGCTCAGCATGTGGATCATTCCCCAGAAAAGATCATGTTAGGTAACAGAATAAGTCTTAAAACATAAAAAAAATTGAAATAATATCAAGTATCTTTTCTAACCACAATGGAATAAAACCAGAAATCAATAACAGGGAATTTTGGAAACTATAAAAATACATGGAAATTAAACAATAGGTTCCTGGAAAACCAGTGTGTCAATGAAGAAATTAAGAATGAAATTTAAAAATTACTTAAAACAAATGATAATGGAAACAGAACATACCAAAACTTATGAGATACAGCACAAAGAGTACTAAAAGGAAAGTTTATAGCTATACATTCCTACATCAAAAAAGAAAAAAAAACTTTAAAAAAATCTGCCAATGCACTTGAAAGAACTACAAAGGCAAGAGCAAACCAAACCCAAAATTAGTAGAAGAAAAGAAATAATAAAGATCAAAGAATAAATAAATTAATTGAAATGAAGATAATACAAAAGGTCAATGAAACCAAATATTGGTTCTTTGAAAAGTTAAACAAACTGACAAATTTTTGCCAAAATGAAAAAGGCAAGATCCCAAAAAATAAAATCAGGGGCAACAAAGGAGACCTTACAACTGATACCACAGAAAGTCAAAGGATCATCAGAAGCTACCCTAAGCAACTACATGCAAATAAATTGGAAATCATAAAAGAAATGGACACATTTCTAGATGCATAAAACCAACCAAAATTGAACTAGGAAGAAATCCAAAACCTGAACAGACCATTCACAAATAACAAGATCAAAGCCATAATAAAATGTCTCTCAATGAAGAAAAGCCTGAGATACAATGGCTTCACAGCTGAATTCTACCAAACATTTAAAAAAGAACTAATAGCAATCCTACTTAAACTATTCTGAAAAATAGAGGAGAAGGAAATACCTCCAAACTCATTCTATGAGGCCAGTATGACCTTGATACCAAAACCTTACAAAGACACATCAAAGACAGAAGGCGACAGCCCAATGTATCTGATGAATATTGTTACAAAAACCCTCAACTATCTCGTAAACCAAATTCAACAATACATTAAAAAGATTATTTATCATGACCAAGTAGGATTTATCCCTGGGATGCAAGGATAGTTCAGCATAAGCAAATCAATCAACAGGATACATCATATCAAGAGAATAAAGGATAAAAACTATATGATGATTTTAATTGATGCTGGAAAGGCATTTGATAAAACTCAACATCTTTTCATGATAAAAACCCGCAAAAAACTGGGTGTAGAAGGAAGATACTTCAACAAAATAAAAGCCATATAGAACACAGCCACAGATAGTATAACACTCAATGGGAAAAGCCCTTTCCTCTAAGAGCTGGAACATGACAAGGATGCCTATTTTCACCACTGTTATTCAACATAGTGCTGGAACTCCTAGCTAGAGCAATGAGATGAGACAAAGAAATAATAAAAATTTCTTTCCAAATTTGACATAAAAAGTCAAATTACCCTTCTTTGCAGGTGAAATAATCTTACATTGGGAAAAATCTAAAGACTACACACAAAAGAACTTATTAAAACTGACAAACTCAGTAAATTTGCAGGATACAAAATCCATGTACAAAAATCAGTAGCATTTTTATATGCCAATAGTGAAAACTCCGAAAAAAGAATTTTACACAGTAATCCAATTATAACAGCCACAAAAATTATATACCTGGGAAATAACTTAACCAAAGTGAAAAATATTTATAATAAAAACTTTAAAACATTAATAAAAAAATGAAGAAGACACCAAAAAATAGAAAAATATTTCATGTTCATAAATTAGAAAAATCAATATTATCAATATGTCCATACTACCCACAGCAATCTACAGATTCAATGCAATTCCTATTAAAATACCAATGACATTCTTCACAAAAAAAAAAATAAAATGATAAAAATTATGTGGAATCACAAAAAACCCAGAACAAAACTGGAGAAATCACGTTACCTGACTTCTAATTATACTACAGAGATATAGTAACAAAAACAATATATTAATAATACTTGTATAAAAACAGACACATAGACCAATGAGCAAGAATAGAGAACTCAGAAACAAATCCATACACCTACGGTGAACTATTTTTTGACAAAGGAGCCCACAACATAAACTGGGAAAAGACAGTCTCTTCAATAAATAGTGTTGAGAAAACTGAATACACATATGCAGAAGAATGAAGGTAAACACCTATTTCTCACCATGTATGAAAGCCAAATAAAAATGCATTGAAGGCTCAAATATAAGACCTCAAACTATGAAACTACTAATAGAAAACATTGGAGAATCTCTCCAGAACACTGGTTTGGGCAAAACTTCTTAAGTAATATCCCACAAGCATAGGCACCCAAAGCAAAAGTAAACAAATGGAATCACAACAAATTATAACCTTCTGCACAACAAAGAAAACAATCAACAAAATGAGGAGACAACACACGAAATTGGAGAAAATATTTTCTATTCATCTGACAAGGGGTTAATAACCAGAATATATAAGGAGCTTAAACAACCCTATAGAAAAAAATCTACTAATCTGATTTAAAAATGGGCAAAATATTTGAATAGACATTTCTCAAATGAAGACATATAAATGACCAACATGAATATGAAAAGATGCTCAACATCATTGTTCATCAGAGAAATGCAAATGAAAACTCCAATGAGATATCACCTCACCTCCGTTAAAATGGCTTATATCCAAACGTCAGGCAATAACAAATGCAGGCGAGGAAATGGAGAAAAGGGCACCCTCATATGCTGTTGATGGGAATGTAAGTTAGTACAACCACTATCAGAATAGTTTGGAGGTTCCTCAAAAACTAAAAATAGAGCTACCATACAATCCAGCTATCCTACTGCTGGGTATATATCCAAAAGAAAGGAAATCAGTATATTGAAGAGATGTCTGCACTGTCATGTTTGTTGCAGCACTGTTCACAATAGCCAAGATTTTGAATTAATCTGTCCAACAACAGAAAAATGGTTAAGGAAAATGTAGTTCTTATACACAATGGAGCACTATTTATCCATAAAAAAGAATGAGATATTGTAATTTTCAAAAACATGGATGGAACTTGAGGTCATTAGCTTAAGTGAAATAAGCCAGCATAGAAAGGCAAACATTATGTGTTTTCACTTATTTGTGGGATCTAAAAATCAAAAAAATTGAACTCACAGAGATCCATAGTAGAAGGATGGTAACCAGAGTCTGGGACTGCTAGTAATGGAGCAAGTGCTATGCAGATGTTTAGTGTGTATAAGAAAAAAAAAGATTAAAAGGATGAATAAGACCTAATATTGGATAGCAAAATAGGGTGACTGTAGTCAATAATAATTTAATTGCGCATTTTAAAATAATTGAAAGTGTGATTGGATTGTTTATAACACAAAGAATAAATACTTGAGGGGATGGATGCCCCATTCCCACATGAAGTGACTGTTCTACATTACATGCCTGTATCAAACATCTCATGTACTCCATGAGTATATACACACACTATGTACCCACAAAAATAAAAAAATAAAAATAAAAGTAACTTAGTGCTGCCTCAAGCCTTTTTCAGGTCCAAATAGGAGAAGCCCCGCATTTTGCTGATTTAAAAAATCCCACCTTTGAGTATCCCACAAATATTTTAAAAATCCAAGCAAAACTGGCTTTCTTCTGGGTGATTATTTGCAGTTAGAAGAATAAAAATTTAGTTGCATGCATGACATTTTTGTTCATAGTCAAATTTATATTTCTTGCTACAATATTCTATGACTAAACTTTTTTTATTTTTAACAATAGTGTTAATAATAACAAATATTTGAAAATATATATACACATAAGTTGAATGCTAAAATATATGACCACATCAATTTTCAATGTAACATGAACAGGAAATTTTAATCAAAATATTCCAAATGTGCCAGTGTCTTTGAAAAGTTGATTTTTCTAGAACTTTTTCAATATTGTACAAATTAAGTGTCTGCATTAAGATACTTAAACAGTCTGATAAATTTTAAAAGTGTTGTATGATTCTCAACATTAATTCTGCTATGTTCCCTGAGATATTTAAAAACTTCTAATAGGTTTTCAAGATGGCCGTATAGAAACAGCTCCAGTCTGGAGTTCCCAGCTAGACCAATGCAGAAGGTTCGCGATTTATTCATTTCCAACTGAGGTACCCAATTCATCTTATTGAGACTGGTTAGACAGTGGGTGCAACCCATGGAGGGCGAGCAGAAGCAGGGTGAGGTGTTGCCTCACCCAGAAAGTGCAAGGGCTCTGAAGAGAGCCATGAATGTCCCAGCACAGTGCTCGAGCTCTGCTAAGGGACGGACTGCCTCCTCAAGTGGGTCCCCAATCCCCTTGCCTCCTGACTGGGAGACACCTCCCAGCAGGGGTCAACAGATACATCATAAAGGAGAGCTCCAGCTGGCATCTGGCAGGTGCCCCTCTTGGATGAAGCTTCCAGAGGAAGGAGCAGGCAGCAATCTTTGCTGTTCTGCAGCCTCCACTAGTGATACCCAGGCAAACAGGGTCTGGAGTGGACCTCCAGCAAACTCCAGCATACCTGTAGAAGAGGGACCTGACTGTTAGAAGGAAAACTAACAAATAGAAAGCAATAACATAAACATTAACAAAAAGGATGCCCACACAAAAACCCCATCCAAAGGTCCTCGGCATCAACAATCAAAGGTAGATAAACCCATGAAGATGAGGAAAAATCAGCACAAAAAGGCTGAAAATTCCAAAAAACACAATACCTCTTCTCTTCCAAAGGATCACAACTCCTCACCAGCAAGGGCACAAAACTGGAGGGAGAAAGAGTTTGATGAATTGACAGAAGTAGGCTTTAGAAGGTGGGTAATGACAAAGTCCACTGAGCTCAAGGAGCATGTTCTAACTCACTGCAAGGAAGCTAAGAACCTTGATAAAAGGTTGCAGGAACTGATAACTAGAATAACAAATTTAGAGAATAACATAAATGACCTGATGGAGCTGAAAAACACAGCACAAGAACTTCGTGAAATATATGCAAGTATCAATAGCTGAATAGATCAAGTGGAAGAAAGGATATCAGAGATTGAAGATCAACTTACTGAAATAAGGTGCGAAGACAATATTAGAGAAAAAAGAATGAAAAGGAATGAACAAAGCCTCCAGGAAATATGGAACTACGTGAAAAGACCAAACCTATGATTAATTGGTATACCTGAAAGTGACAGGGAGAATGGAAACAGGTTGGAAAACACATTTCAGGGTATTATCCAGGAGAACTTCCCCAGCCTAGCAAGACAGGCCAACATTCAAATTCAAGAAGTACAGAAAACACCACTAAGATACTCCTCAAGAGGAGCAACCCCAAGACACATAATCATCAGATTCACCAAGGTTAAAATGAAGGAAAAATATGTTAACGGCAGCCAGAGAGAAAGGTCAGGTTACCTAAAGGGGGAAGCCCATCAGACCAACAGCAGATCTCTCGGCAGAAACTCTACAAGCCAAAAGAGAGTAGGTGCCAATATTCAACATTCTTAAAGAAAAGAATTTTCAACCCAGAATTTCATATCCAGCCAAACTAATCTTCATAAGTGAAGGAGAAGTAAAATTCTTTACAGACAAGCAAATGCTGAGGGATTTTGTCACCACCAGGCATGCCTTACAAGAGGTCCTGAAGGAATCACTAAATACAGAAGGGAAAAACCGGTACCAGCCACTGCAAAAACATAGCAAAATATAAAGACCAACGACACTATGAAGAAACTGCATCAACTAAAGTGTAAAATAACCAGTTAGCAGAATGATGACAGGATCAAATTAACACATAACAATATTAACCTGAAATGTAAATGGGCTAAATGCCCCAATTAAAAGACACAGCCTGGCAAATTGGACCCATTGGTGTGCTGTATACAGGAGACCCACCTCACATGTAAAGACACAGATTGGCTCAAAATAAAGGGATGGAGGAATATTTACCAAGGAAATGGAAAGCAAAAAAAGTAAGAGTTGCAATTCTAGTCTCTGATAAAACAGACTTTAAATCAACAAGGTCAAAGAAGACAAAGAAGGGCATTACATAATGGTAAAGAGATCAATGCAACAACAAGAGGTAACTATCCCAAATACATATGCACCCAATACAGGAGATCCCAGATTCATAAAGCAAGTTCTTGGAGACCTACAAAGAGACTTAGACTTCCACACAACAACAGTGGAAAACTTTAACACCCCACTGTCAATATCAGACAGATCAACGAGACAGAAAATTAAAAAGGATATTCAGGGCTTGAACTCAGCTCTGGACCAAGCAGACCTAATAGACATCTACAGAACACTCCACCCCAAATTAACAGCATATACATTCTTCCTAGCACCACATAGCACTTATTCTAAAATCGACCACATAATTGGATGTAAAACACTCCTCAGCAAATACAAAAGAAAGGAAATCATAACAAACAGTCTCTCAGACCACAGTGCAATCAAATTAGAACTCAGGATGAAGAAACTCACTCAAAACCGCATAACTACATGGAAACTGAACGACATGCTCCTTAGTGACTACTGGGTAAATAACAAATTTACAGCAGAAATAAATAAGTTCTTTGAAACAAATGAAAACAAAGACACAACATACCAGAATCTCTGGGACACAGCTAAAGCAGTGTTTAGAGAGAAATTTATAGCACTAAATGCCCACATTGGAAAGCGGGAAAGTTCTAAAATCAACACTCTAACATCACAATTAAAGGAACTAGAGAAACAAGAGAAAACAAATTCAAAAGCTGTCAGAATACAAGAAATAACTAAGATCAGAGCAGAACTGAAGGAGATAGAGACACAAAAAAACCTTCAAAAAATCAATGAATCCAGTAGCTGTTTTTTTTTGAAAAGATCAACAAAATAGACCACTAGCCAGACTAATAAAGAAGAAAAGAGAGAAAAATCGAATAGACACAATAAAAAATGATAAAGGGGATATCACCACTGATCCCACAGAAATACAAACTACCATGAGAGAATACTATAAACACCTTTATGCAAATAAACTAGAAAATCTAGAAGAAATGGATAAATTCCTGGATACATACACCCACTCAAGACTAAACCAGGAAGAAGTAGAATCCCTGGATAGACCAAAAACAAGTTCTGAAATTGAGGCAGTAATTAATAGCCTACCAACCAAAAGCAGCCCAGGACCAGATGGATCCATAGCTGAATTCTACCAGAGGTACAAAGAGGAGGTGGTACTTTTCCTTCTGAAACTATTCCAAACAATAGAAGAAGAGGGACTCCTCCCTAACTCATTTTATGATGCCAGCATCATCTTGATACCAAAACCTGGCAAGGACACAACAAAAAAAGAAAATTTCAGGCCAATATCCCTAATGAACATGGATGTGAAAATCCTCAATAAAATACTGGCAAACCATATTCAGCAGCACATCAAAAATCTTATCCACCACAAGCAAGTTGGCTTCATCCCTGGAATGCAAGGTGCTTCAATGTATGCAAATCAATAAATGTAGTCCATCACATAAGCAGAACCGATGGCAAAAGCTACATAATGATCTCAATAGATGCAGAATAGGCCATTGGTAAAATTCAACATCCTTCATGCCGAATACACTCAATAAACTAGGTATTGATGAAACGTATCTCAAAATAATAAAAGCTATTAATGACAAACCCATAGCCAATATCATACTGAATGGGCAAAAGCTGGAAGTATTCCCTTTGAAAACCAGCACAAGACAAGGATGCCCTCTCTCACCACTCCTATTCAACACAGTGTTAAAAGTTCTGGTCAGGGCAATGAGGCAAGAGAAGGAAGTAAAGGGTATTCAAATAGGAAGAGAGGAAATCAAATTGTCTTTGTTTGCAGATAACATGTTTGTATATTTAGAAAACCTCATCATCTCAGCCTAAAAATTCCTTAAGGTGTTAAGTAAATTCAGCCAAGTGTCAGGATACAAAATAAATGTGCAGAAATTACAAGCATTCCTATACACCAATAATAGTCAAACAGAGAGCCAAATCATGAGTGAACTCTCATTCATAATTGCTACAAAGAGAATAAAATACCTAGGAATACAACTTACAAGGGATATGAAGGACCTCTTCAAGGAGAACTACAAACCACTGCTCAAGGAAATAAGAGAGGACATAAACAAATAGAAAAACATTCCTTGGAAATAAGAGAGGACACAAACAAATGGAAAAACATTCCATACTCATGGATAGGAAGAATCAATATCATGAAAATGGCCATACTGCCCAAAGTAATTTATAGATTCATTGCTATTCCCATCAAGTTACCACTGATCTTCTTCACAGAATTAGAAAAAACTACTTTAAATTTCATATGGAACTGAAAAAGAGCCTGTATGACCAAGATAATCCTAAACAAAAAGAACAAAGCTGGAGACATCACACCACCTGATTCAAACTATACTACAAGGCTACAGTAACCAAAAGAGCATAGTACTGGTGCCAAAACAGATATATAGACCAATGGAACAGAACAGAGGCCTCAGAAATAACACTGTACATCTACAACCAACTGATATTTGACAAACTTGACAAAAACAAGCAGTGGGAAAGGATTGCCTATTTAATAAATGGTGTTGAAAAAACTGGCTAGCCACATGCAGAAAACAGAAACTGGACCCCTTCCTTACACCTTACACAAAAATTAAACCAAAATATATTAAAGACTTAAACGTAAGAGCTAAAACCATAAAAACCCTAGAAGAAAACTTAGGCATTACGATTCAGGACATAGGCATGAGCAAGGACTTCATGACTAAAACACCAAAAGCAACGACAACAAAAGCCAAAACTGACAAATGATATGTAATTAAACTAAAGAGCTCCTGCACAGCAAAAGAAACTATCATCAGAGTGAACAGGCAACCTACAGAATGGTAGAAAATATTTGTAATCTATCCATCTGACAAAGGTCAAATATCCAGAATCTACAAGCAGCTTATACAAATTTACAAGAAAAAAACAAACATCCTCATCAAAAAGTGGGTGAAGGATATGAACAGACACTTCTCAAAAGAAAACATTATGCAGCCAACAAACATGAAAAAAAGATCATCATCACTTGTCATTAGAGAAATGCAAATCAAAACCACAATGAGATACCATCTCACGTCAGTTAGAATGCAGATCATTAAAAAGTCAGGAAACAACAGATGTAGGAAAGAATGTGAAAAAATACAAACACTCTTACATTTTTGGTGAAAGTGTAAATTAGTTCAACCATTGTGGAAGACAGCATGGCAATTCCTCAAGGATCTAGAAGCAGAAATACCATTTGACCCAGCAATCCCATTACTGGGTATATACCCAAATGATTATAAGTCATTCTACTGTATAATACATGCACATGTATGTTTATTGCTGCAGTATTTACAATAGCAAAGACTTAGAAACAAACAAAATGTCCATCAATGATAGACTGGATAAAGAAAATGTGGCACATATACACCATGGAATATTATGCAGCCATAAAGAAGAATGAGTTCATGTCCTTTGCAGGGACATGGATGAAGCTGGAAACCATCATTCTCAGCAAACTAACGCAGGAACAGAAAACCAAACACCACATGTTCTCACTCGTAAGTGGGAGTTGAACAATGAGAACACATGGACACAGGGAAGGGAACATCACACACCAGGGCCTGTCAGGAGGTGGGGGGCAAGGGGAAGGATAGCATTAAGAGAAATACTTAATGCATGTGAGGCTTAAAACCTAGATGATGGGTTGATGGGTGCAGCAAACCACCATGGCACATGTACACCTGTGTAACAAACCTGCATGTTCTGCACATGTATCCCAGAACTTAAAGTAAAATTAAATAAATAAATAAATAAATAAATAAAATAACAAAAACCAAAAACTTCTAATGGATTACAATAACATACAAATTATGTAATGAATTTTTATCCTAAAAGTATAGCTATCTCTAAAAGTGAAGGTTGACACTAAATCTACTTTAAATTTTAAAATGTGATTAATTTAGAAGCTATGAAAATTAAATGTTAAGAGAGAGTTTTAGGCAAATATGAAATCTATAAATACATTTTTCAAATTTTTTGAATATGTTTAGATATTATGTGTATTAGTTAGAGCAGATTTAAGGTATTTAAACACAGTAGAAACTGATTTCCTGCTTATCTGACCAGAAATGGGCAGGTAAGCAGGGTGCCCATCATGCACACAATCATACAGGACCATTCAAGATGCTATTGGCTTTGCAACTTCACCTGGTATATTTGAAGGTCTTGCTGGGTGCTGTTTCTATTACAGTCAGCTGAAAGAGAAAAAAAGCATGAAGAAGCACAGATGGGAATTAATTATGTACCAATCATTAGAGTCCTACACATCACTTCCACCCACATTCTATTGGTTAGAATGTTGTTAAATATCCATTCTTAACCATAATCAAGTCTGAGAAAGTAAACATAGGTTTTATCCAGAAAGAGGAAGAGATGAATTTTGATAAGCTGCTTAAACACACTGCAACACTAAGTATCTTAATACTCTAGTTTTTTTAAATTTTTAACTGTAATATACACATGCATAAAAGTACATAAAACATATATGCAGCACTTAAAATAATTTTAAAGGGATTACTCTTGTAATCACCACCAAAATAAAAAAAAAACAAGCAATGCCCAGTGTTCTCTGTTTACTCCTAGTCTGATACATCCTCTCTGCTCATATAGTAACCACTATCCTCCTTTTAATCTATTTTTTGTTTACTTATTTTTTAAAAATATCTTAATTCCTCTAAATGTGTTTTAAAATATAGCTTTGCTAACTTTTGAACTTTTCATAAATGATGTCACAGACTATGTGTTATTTTTATGCTTATTTTTCTCTACATTATTTTTATGAGATTCATCCATACTTTTGGGAATAGTTATTCAGTTATATGCATTGCTGGATTTTTTGTCATATTAATAATATAGCCCGTTTTATTTTCATTCTGCTATTGATCAACTAGTGACTGTTTATAGTCTGGAACTGACACAGGAAAGGTGAGCCCCAAACTGGGGCTTAGTTTGGGAGGGTTCCTGGCTTCACCCAGGGAAGAACTCAAGAGTGAGCCAGTGGTAAAAAGAATTTTACTCAAGAAGTAGTAGTGTTACAGCTCCAGCAGTGTTACAGCTCTGTGACTGCTCCTGTAGAGCAAGGCAACCTCTTAGGCAGTGTGCTGGATGTAGCACCTCAGAAGCAGCTCTGCAGTTGTATTTATACCCACTTTTAATTATATGCAAATCAAGAGGCAGTCCATGTAGAAATTTCTAGAAAAGGGATGGTAACTTCTAAGTTGTCAGGTCATTACATGGAAAGGTGTGGTAATTTCTTGGCCTTTCCACGGCAATGGTAAACAAACATGGCACCTTGCTGGGAGTGTCTAATGGGGGGTGCTTCCATCCCAGACCTTCCATCCCAGACCCAGGTTTGACAAGTCCTCAATTTGGTCCTGTGTCTTACCTCTGCCTCTGGAGTTGCAGGGCTATTATGAACAAAGTGGCTATGACTTCTTATACCTGCCTTCTGGTGTATGGTGAAAGTTTCCTTACCCAAGAAAGGAGTTGCTAGACCATATAATATGTTTATATCAGCTTTACTAAAAAATGCCAAACTAGTTTTCCAAAATACTTTTAACACTATATATTCCTATCATGGTATAAGAATTCCCATTTGCCATGTCCTTGACCACAGTACCATCATACTTCTTAAAAACTTTTGTTGATCTAGTGAATGTGTAATCATATCTTACGTAGTTTCAGTGTGGACTTTCCTGATTATTAACATGTTTTCCTAAATGGTCACTGAGTATGAATAACATTTGCTATGTTTGTAGACCAATTGAGTTTTGTCTATTCAAGTACTTGTAAAAATATCCTATAATTTGTTAATAGATTTTGTCTTTCTCATTAATTTGTATGAATTTATAATATATTGTGGAACTTCGTAGGTTACTTGTGAATATTTTCCCATTTAGTGATTTCTTTTAAATTTTATTGCATACTTTAATAAACACACATTTTTAAAAACATAGCTATTATTTCTTTGTGATTAGTGCTTTTGACTCTTGTATAAGAAAACCTTCACTACCATAGTTTCAGCATGACTTTCTCAAACCTACTTTTATGAGCTCTACAGTTTTTTCTTTCGTATTTCTATAATCCTGAAGCTCTTTGATTTTAAGTAGTTATAGTCTAATATTTTCTCTTTTTTCCTTCCTGTGAATACCTAGTTTTTCCAACACCATTTATTAAATATTCTGTTCTCTTCCCAACAATATACTGTGCAACTTTTGTCAGATATAAAATGTTCTAAATATGTATGAGTCTATTTCTATGCTCTATTCCATTCCATTTGATACTACCTTAATTACTTTAGATCTATCATTCTTGGTAACTAGCAAGGCAAGGTCAACCAACCTCTTCTTCTGTGAAGTTTACTGGCTTTATATTAATTTTAACTACTTAATATCTTACTCTCAACAACACTTTTTGGATTCTTCAGAGATACCTATCAAAATTTTTCACTGCACTATTCTCTAGCACAATTATCCACCTGATTGCTTATGACTCCTCTCTCTGCGTCTCCTTAGAGCCCGTAACTCTTACTCTGGCAGGCCTGAAATCCCTTCAAAATGATTCGTGCCCAAACATCTTCCACAATATTCAGTCTGGCCCAGGAGAAAATAGCATTATTCTGCCAAATTCTTGAATCTCAATTTTCTTTTTCTGTTCTCCTATTAAAGTCAGTTCTAATCATGTCCGTGTTCAAATGTTTCTATCAACGGTCCAGTTCCAATTTTGTGGGTATTTTTTCTTCCAAATTTCAGGGTACATATTTTATACACTATGAGTCACTCTCTTGAACCACGTCTTCTCCTATTTGCTTTTAGATAAAGGCCAGTTTGGGGCATTGGAAAATGGTTACAGATCCTCAAACTCATGGTTTTCTAACCAAACTCCCAAAGAAACTCTCACGGCCAATCTTTCTTCATGATTATCTTTGTCCACCCATAACCTGGAAGCAGATGCAGGAATGCAAGTCTCAAAAGCAGTTTAGGGCCACTTGTGATCAAAATCTGTGTAAATAATCTAGGATCTTTTTTTTTTTTAACATGTGAGAACATTTCACTGTCACTTTCTTTAGAATCTGTCCAAAATCTCAAGGCATGAAAGTTCATGTTTATCAGTGTTTTTCTTTATTATTTGAGGGTTTTTTTTAAATCAAAACCAATAACATACTACTCCAATATAGTCAATTGAAATCAATTAAGTCTATAAAAGGCCGTAAGAGAGAGTATTCAAAACAAACACACTTAACACGGCAACAATACATAGCTATGGAGTAACACGTAATTCAAAGCACTGCACAAACTAGTTCTTATTGTACAAATGACCTAAAATGGTAGGATTTTTTTTGTAGCAAAGCTGCTATCCAGTCAAATTAAAATAACTTGAGATCTCTATTTTTCTTAGTGTTATTTTTTCTTTACATAAAATGCATACACTATATGGTTTTCCACCATTTTTTAAAAATATTATACTCCTTTCACAACCCCTTAACTCTGAATATCCCTCTGACAAAGAATAAAAGTTCCATGATAAGTTACCACTTACTCATGAGCATATCTATTTCCTACATATTTGCTTTAGATCAAGCATAAATTTATAGCTTCTATTACCCTCTCCTGACTCACTAAAAAGGGTTATTTACCTTTTTGTTGTCACATCATTAAAATCATGATCTACTATAGCACATAACAGGTTATATTATTATTATAACAACTTGATTTTTCCCCTGTTAGACATGAATTATATCATCCTGGAGCAAAGCTCCTGGCCTATAATTAATTCCCCAATAAATATTTCATTAAAAAATGAAAATATAATATCTCCTCTATTTGAGGGCCAAAGTTAGGGAGAGTTATATTACATTTCCAGTTCTGAGACAAGTAGCATAAGACACTTGCAAGAGCTGAAAATATACAAAAGCATAGAGTATTAAGGAGTTTGTTTTAGTTAGTGTCTTTCAGTTCACAAGGCCCAAAGATATATGCCGGTTATTTCCAGGGATAGGAGTTATTAGTAGACAAAGACAAAAATGTGAGAAAACAAAGAAAAGTATATTAAGAGTCAGAGTCAATTCTCACAAACAACCAAAGCATATCATTGCAATTTTGAATTTAACAGCAACTGTAGTGTCTCTCAGCAGTAATTTCACTAACTCAGCTGAGGCTCTAGTTACCCAGTCTGTTTTTTCAAATGGACACCTGATATTTACTACCCTAGTGACTTAATGACTCAACTTCTCTTACCTGTGAATTTTTCTAAATATCCTTCTTTATTTACTTCCTCTTCGTTAACTTTTAGCTTTTATTTAATTTGTCTCTGCATTCTCTGTGATCCTTTTGTGTATCTAAACTAAATTTCTTAAGATAGTATTTTACAAAGTTTTTTCTAATGGGAAAAATGCTTATACCAGGTCACCTTATAGGCTACAGGACTTCTTGCATCTAGCCTATAAATGGTTCTATTTACACATCATCATTGCTAATCCAATCAATTTTTGTCAATATAGTAAGGTCATTAAATCTTTAAGCAAAATAAAGAAATAAAATGTCCATGTCTGCATATCTTAGACTTGTTTGACATAGCATATGAGTCTCATGTAATACCTCATAGCATGTAAGGGCACAGGAAATGTTAGGAATACAAAATGAAAGAGGAAGTTCCATGATTAAATTCAAAGGAAGTGAACTTCTTATATGACGACCCAGGCCTCAATTGTGCATATCCCAGGACAAAGAGAAACAACCAGAAACAGTGCCAATTTTTATGATTTAGCCTATTCCTCCATGTTCTATTTATTACAAGAAAGCCACCAAAATTAGCCCATATTCAAGAGGAGTGTAATCAGACTCCATCTTTTAAAGGGAGAATCATCAAAGAACTTGCAGATATGTTTTAAGACAGTACGTTACCAATTTATAACAGTTACATTAATTTCATTTGTTTTCCATTTTAGGTTTGCTTTCCTTTTCTTTCCTTAGTTAATATCATTCTTTGGATATACATAAAATATATCATACAAAAGACAAACTATATAAAGATACATACTCAGAAAAGTTTTGTTCCAATACCTATACTTTTTACCACATTTTCCGCATCATTCTATAGGTACTTTTGTTGTTTCTGCTTTGTGTCTCTTCACAGCTTTTATTTTTGCATGAATAAGGCGATACTTATATATTAAACTCCTGCTTATCTTTTCTTACATAAAATGCATATTATATATTAAATGCCTTATTGAAGAAATGGCTGATTTTAAAACTAGATCAAGAAAAATGCAAAATAAGCCGAGGATACCTTGTTACGCCAGAGCAAAGAAATATCCAGAGACAAACAGAAAAGTGACAAAATGTACATGACCCAGTTGGGAAGGATTTCTACCAGCTGCATTTGAGATAATGTAAGCAGTAAAACAAAAATAACAGCAAGTAATTATAAAATATTATATAAACAAGAATATTTGAGTCTGTGATGATATTTATAAAAAGATTAAAATTATTTGACAACATTGCGACTATCATATCATTTTTTTTTCTGAAAATTGGTGTAGAAAAATAAGGATTTGCTTGTCTTTTGAGGAAGAAAGCATTAACACATCATGTAGTGGATGGGCATTGGGATCTTCATACAGTGCCCAAATTATCAAAATTAGCATCAATCACAGCGAGCCAATCCAACATATGTGCTTACTGATGAAGCACATAGCACTAACGATGAGGCACTCTTGCCAAAAATATTTAACCTGAATTTAATTAAAGCTTTAGATATAATTTCTTTTAGAGGAAATAGAGAGATAAACAAATTAAATGATACTGTGAGGAGACAATAAGATATATATAGAATGCAGTTGTGTTTTATCCTTGTTAGCTTTATTTTTTTTTTCAAAATAGTCATAATTAAAGTTTAGGGGAAAACAGCTGACTACAATGAATAAAATCTGACTCAGTCCTGATTTAAACCCATATTTTAAGTGGCAGTATTGAGAAAGTTATAGAAAATTGAATGTCCATTACACCAGGAAACTTTATTTTTGTATGCCTGATAATAAAAGGGTGGTTATGTTAAAGAATGTTCTTATTTTGGAAAGATGTTTCCTAGACTATTGAAGTGTAGAAGATTTTGATGTCCACAACTACATTTAAATGGATCAGCAAAGATAGCAGATAGATTGATTGATTGGTTAATATAGATACATACAGAAAAAGATAGCAAAATATTTTAATAATTATCTAATAAAGAGGTGGTATGTGGAGGTGTATTGCTCTAGTGATGTGTTTGCCTATATCTTTGAATCTTTACACAATAAATTTGAGAGAATAAAAAGACAAATTTGAGGAAAAAAAGACTAGATTCTTTTTATGCCGATATTTTAAGAAGGATATTTCCTGTTATTCAAGACATTATATAAGTTGATTAACATATAGGAAGAATAAAAGGAGAAGCTATTATTCTAATTTCATAAAATTGTACATGAGTTTGGATCATTCTATTATTCATTGTAAATATTCAATATTTGCTGTCTTTTCAGTATGTTGTCAGCATTAATGTCTTTATAATTCTGTGAACTTTTTTATATGAGAAGTGCTTTTGCATATTCTCATTATGCATATATTGCATAAAAAATATAATTGCAGTGATGGTCATTGTTAATAATTTTGCATGACTTTTATATTTAGAAGTGCTTGGCAATAATTTTTATTAGCCATTATTAACATCTTTTCCAGAGGACACTTCATATTGATTAATGACATTTCCGACCTAACTATTCAATTTATGTTTGAGTTTTTCTTTTATGTTCAGTTACACTTTATTGGTTTAAGCCTTTCATTTGTTTTTTAAACGCAGAAATTTACAAAAGTTATTTCTGGGATAAAAGTATTTTCAAGTAATTCAATTTTGTTATCTGACAGATTTTTAGAAGATAGAGTTTGATTTTTACTTGAAGCAATAGTCTTTTACAGGCTATGCAATTCAACGTGTAAAGAAAATTGCCAGATTGTACTCACATTTTATTCATATCTCTCAAATTCCTTGTTTGCTTTTTTGCTCTCCCTGGGGTAGTTTATTCATTTATTAAGTCCTGGGTTATTGCATTTACTAAGAGATAAAGAATAAAAGATTGGTGTTAAGAAAGTTGTATGTGATTCCTGAACCCACCATTACTTGACCACAGGTTTCTTAACTAACCTTGCTGGGTCTCAGTTTTTTTTTAATCTATAAAAATGAGAAACTCACTACTTTAAAATGTATTATGAAGATTTAATGCAGTGTCTATTATAATTTACTTATTAAGTATCTGACAAATTACTCTTAATAAATTAGCACACAAACAATTTACCTTGTGTCTTGTTTTGCAATTTTTTTTGTAATCATCCAAACTTGTGGTAGGGTCATCTTTATAAACTGCAAATTGAGAATATCAGTATTATTACTTAATATTAAGATGAAGTCCCATTTTTTAATGACAATATACAGGGCGTATATAGTCTGATGTGAACCTCATATTTTTACCATTTCTGTTTACATTTATTTTCAAGGGATGCAGAAAATATGAACCTAAATAATACTGGCAACCTTCCTTGGCAGCCATCCCGAGTTTTTCATTTTCCGAGGCACTGTATATCTTGTAAAAGCTTTGCACATGCAAGTGTGCAGAATGTCCATAGTATCTTGATTAAACCCTCCTTATTCAGCAAAGTTTAACTCAAATGTCATCTCTGGCAAAATATTTCCCTGATAATTTATCCCTCCATTGTGCTCTCATTACATCCTATTGCTCTCCATCCTCCAAATTTCTGTAAATATATCCCTTTTTTCTCTCTCTCCCCTTGACTAAGAGCTTCAAAATTATTGAAGCTATGTAATGTAGAAATTCGTTTACAGATACAGATATTTGTATCCCTTGCAATAGTTGTTAATATATAATTTCCCCAGTATTTATCCAAAGAGTATAATTTAAATAGCATCACTAGTCTATGATTGTCTCAAAGTATCTCCTTCAGCAGTATCAGACGATGCTAGTTTCATTTCTGTTTTACCTAGAATGTCTAACAATGATCTCACTGACCAAAATGGGGGCACTTTCTTATTAGGACTGTGGTTTAAAATGTGCTACATGGTGATGCAAGATTTATTTCGCTTCTGACTTTCTTTTTTATCCCTCAATCAGTTTATTGGATTAGCCATTTGTGACCCTACAAGTTGCAGATAAAACATCTCTAAATTTGGGACAAGATTTGAAACAAGGTTTTAATTACTAGTAGAGAAAAACTATAAGAGAAAGTTTAGGGCATACATTTTATATACGTCAAGCTAAAGGACTCCTCAGCTGTTGTAGGTCAATGTCCATAAAGATCTCACACTTTTATACAATGGGTTTTCTTTACATAAAGTGTGGTGGCTGTAAGCATGGACTTTGAAGTCAAATAGTCCAGGTTAGATTTATATGTCTAATGCTTATTAGATCTGTGACTTGGAACAATTTAAATAACTTCTGAGTGTCAGTTCTTTCATCTACAGCATGCATGTAAAAATGACACCAAACACATATAATTGTGGGGGTTTAAATAAGACAGTATGTATATTTACCACAGTGACAGGGACATGGTAAGAGCTCACTAATGGTATATATTATTGATATGATTATTATTATCATCCTACTCAAAAATCTTAAAGCAATTGTTATCCCCTACATGTAAGGGTGTCAACTCTCAAAAAATGTTAACAATTTATCTACAATGTAGAGGTGATATTAATTGATAAATATAAAATTCAAACATAAGCTTTCTGATTTTATTTATAGCACACTTTACAATGTTTCCTGCAGATTCTAGCTTGTGATGGTCCCAGGAAAGGGATGAAAGATCCTTAGTGGATGTCCAACTCAGGTATGTCAGAAAGACAGGAAGGAAAAAATAACTCCAAGACAGAATTCATTGGTTTATAGAGATATTCTTTGTCATGTTACTTAAAAATTGATGCTACCTACAGAATCATTAACTGTAGGTTACCATGCTAAGCATGGATGTTGAAAGATTAAGAACTCCAATTAATTTATCCTTTAATAGCTTTTCTAAGTTCCAAAATAAAAAGCTCAAATAATATATTACTAAAATAAACTCATAACTGCAAAATAAATATAATTGAAGGTGTTCCTATAAATTCAATAAAATTATTTTAAGTTGACCTAGGAAACAGATTTTATGAAATTGTCATAACATGCTTTTTAAATTTAATTTTTAAAATGTACAATTGACACATAATAATTATGCATATTTATGGGATACAATGTGAAGGTTTAATGCACGTATACATAGTATAATGCTCAAATCAGGATAGTTACCATATCCATCACTTTAAACATTTATTATTTCTTTGTGGTGATAACATTTAAGATTTTCTCTTCTAGCAGTCTTGAAACATATGCTATGTTGTTATCTTCTATAGTCACTTACTGTGTAATAAAACCCCAAAACATCCTTCCTGTCTAACTATAATATTGTACTCATTCATTGGCCTCTCTCAATTCTGCCTTTCCCACCCTCCCCAGGCTCTGGTAACCACTATTCTACTCTCTATTTCTATGAAATCCCCTTTTTTAGATTCCACATAAGACTGAGATCACGTGGTGTTTGTCTTTTTCTGCTTGACTTATTTCACTTAATATGATGTCCTCCAGGTACATCCAAGTATCCAAGTTGTTGCAAATGACAGCATTTCATTCTGTTTCATGGATGAATAGTATTCTATTTTATATATATATATATATACTTTTTATTGATTCATCTGTAGATGGGCATTTTGGTTGATTCCATATCTTGGCTATTGTGAATAGCACTGCAATAAACATGAGTAAGCAGATGTCTCTTTGGTACACTGATTTCACATAGACCAATGAACAAAATATAGGCCCTGAAAATATATCCATACATTTACAGCCAACTGATTTTTAACAAAGGTGTCAAGAATACACACTGGGGAAAGGAGAATCTCTTTAATAAATGGTTCTGGGAAAACTGGATATTCACATGCAGAAAATGACACTAGACCCCTCTCTCTCACCGTGTATAAAAATCAACTCTAAATGGATTAAAGAAATAAGTGCAAGACTCAAAACTGTAAAGCTACTAGAAGTAAACATAGGAAAAAGCTTGATATTTGTCTGGGCAAGAATTTTTTTAGTAAGATCTCAAAAGCACAGACAACAAAACAGAGTAGACAAACGGTATTACATCAAACTAAAAAGCCCCTGCACAACACACAATTAATAAGGTGAAGAGAAATTAGTTGCACACTATGTATCTGAGGAGGGATTAATATCCAGAGTATATAAGGAACTCAAACAACTAAATACCAAAAGAATAATTTGATTAAAAATGAGCAAAAAACCTGAATAGACACTCACAGAAGACATACAAATGGCCAACAGATCAATAAAAAAGTTCAACATCACTAATCATTAGAGAAATACAAATCAAAACCATAATGAGTTATCTCCTCAACTGAGTTAGAATGGCTGTTATCAAAAAGGCTAAAATAAATAAATAAATAAACAAATAAACAAATAATGCTGGCAAGAATACAGAGAAAAACAAACATCTATACACTGCTGGTGGAAATGTAAATTAGTACAGACATTATCAAAAACACTAGGAAGTTTCCTCAAAAAATTAAAAATAGAACTATGATATAAACAAATCTTTCCGAACCAAGTTTTCAAATTGTTATGGGGCCAGATAAAGGACAATATTCTAAGGAATATGACTGTTCTGCTGTACTTTTTACCTTGGGTTATTACCATTTACTTTTCAACCATCTGTCTTCATCTACATTCTGTCAGTTTTTATAGTTCCTTGTTAAAACCCTAGCAATGTGTCCGCTTCATTTTGTTTTCTTCACTAAGAAGACGGGCGATAACATCCTTTTAGAAATGACCAGATTTTTCTTTTCAAAAAGGACCAATTACAACAATCACTTTCAATATACTAGCTAAATGCATTTATTGATACTATGATATAACAAGAATGTTTTGTAGTTATATAGGTTTCCATTTCAGTTAAGAAAATTCAAGCATTACATAATAAGTAGTTGATGATAGGAAACCTTCAGTGTTTCCTATAATGGAAAAGAAGGAAAATTATTATCTTAAATTTTCAAGTTAGGTAATAACAGAGCAGAGATTACATTATTCGCTGCAGGGCAGAGCATGAATCATGACACAGCCATTCAGATAATCTCAGACATGGAAAGACCACATAATATTTTAAATCGTTACTAGAAAAATATGAATAAAATGAGATAACATATTACTCTATTAAATTACACTAATTACTTTCACTAATGTCCTCTTTCAAAACAGAATTGTAATAATTCTGTGTAATTTAACAATTTTTTTTCATTTTCCACTAGGGATTTTGTTGGAGAAAAAAAATTATATTGTTAGAATCAAAATTATCACTGCCTTAATTCCATATTTCATATAGTGTTGGTGAATACATTCTTCTAATAATCTTAAATTCAAGTCTATCTGATTAAGTGCTGAGATTAGCATGTCCCAATCACTCTGCAAATCCTAAAGACAAAATGTTTTAGATGATCTACTTGAGTCCATAAGAATTATACAATTCATTAGGGGAGGAAAAATATGCATATAATCCAAATAAAATGTGCTCTAAGTGTTAGCATATATAAAAAATGCCCTATTTTAAACACTCATAGTGTCTAACATAGAAGACTACTAGAGTATAATAGGTATCTTTCCCTCTAGTTGTCTCCTCCCATCCACCATTTAATCTCTTTCTCTCACTAGTGCCAGAATGACCTATAAAATGCTGATCTGACTTTCTTACTCTGCATGAAGAGACCTCTGGTGGTTCTCCATTACATACGGAATCAGCTCAACCTCCTTAACAAAATACATGAAACTTTCCCAACTTGGGTATGTTCCTCCCCTACCTCACCTCTACCATCTATTACCTATTTTCTGTTGATAGATTATAAGCATCATGCTGTTCTACATCTTTTCTGTTTTCTCTCTCTGGAATGACTTTCCATACTTAGTTTAACTCACTTCGTTTATTTTTACTCATCCTTCATGATCCAGTTATGGTTCGTCTCTTCCAAGAAACCTCCCCAAACTGAGGATCTTTACTTTGCACACTTTTAGAACATACCATATCAATTTCTATTTTATCATATTGCATGTATAGTTGGTCATATTACAGGCAAAAATAGAAAATCCTTGTGGTGGATATTGTCAATTGACTGCTAGCCTATTTTCCCACCCTTCTAGTGTATCTTCCTTTCTTACACATTTTCTTTTACTTAGCTTTCAGGATTCAAATTAGATTCTGCCACCAAGTTGCACTTTTATGAAGGTTGAAAGTAGGCAAAGTAGAAAGTCATCTTTACGCGTCTTTCATTATTTACCTTTGGTAACCAAAGAGTTTTTATGCAGCAGTGTTTCAGTGTCCAATCTTTATCTTTGCCAGTGTTGAAGCAAAAATAGATTTTTTTAATTGACAGATAATATTGTACACATTTATCATGTACAACATGATGTTTTAAAGTACACAAACATTGTGGAATGGTTGAATCTAATGAACACAGTTACTATTTTTGTGTTAGGAGCATTTAACATTGACTCTGCATTTTTCAAGAATATATTAACTATAGTCACCTTGCTGTACAACAGAACTCTTGAATTTATTCCTCCTATCTAATTATGTATCTTTTGGTAAACATCTCCCCATCCTACATACCCGCTAACCACCCTATCCTCTGGTAACCACTATTCTACTCTCTAATTTTACAGAATCAATGTTTTAAAAAATTCTGCAAGTGAGTTAGATCATGCCATGTTTTTCTATGCCTGGCTTACTTCACCTAACATAATATCCTCTAGGATCATCCATGTTCTTGCAAATGACAAGATTTCCTTCTTTTCTATAGCTAAATAACATTCCATCACGTATATATACCACATTTTCTTTGTTTATTCATCAGTTAATAGTAGGTTGATCCACAGTTAGTTTTGCACCAACTTAGTGGATAGTTTTGACAGAGACAGAATGCAGACTTCAAATTTCTATGTGCATATACCAGCTTCATAGGATTGAGATGAAGTTGCAGCAGGATTGCAATGGCTTTCAGATTCCAAATTTCGAATCTCTGATTCAGAGCTACAGCTGAGTGTTTGAACCCAAATATTCCAGGGCCAGTTTCTCCATTCTCCCCACTTCCTGATTCTTGCAGAGTCAGTTTCCAAGTAGGTCAGCTCTCCACTTTTCTGGGAATCATTCCAGGACAGACAGCCTAAAGCACACTTCTCCATCTTTTCCAATGACTGTGTTAGCACCTATATTAAATTTTCTTCTTTGCATAGAATATTTAAAGTTATTTTTCCTATACTCTGTCTTGAAAGAGTTTTTGTACCAGGACTGGTTGCAGACAATAATATATTCTGAAGGAAGGGAATCTGGGGTTTGTTATCTAGCTCCATTAGCTTTAAAGTCAGTAAGGATAAGAAAAGAACAAGAGAACAGGTGCTGGTGGTTCATGGAAGACAGAATAAGTTCATAACTTATTTGGAATAAAACATCTTTCAGAGTATAAGGGCTACTGTTTCCTGGAGTGAAGCCTGCCTAATACAGCTTCCTACAGGTGAAGACTGTGTCATTGCCATCTTATACTTACAGCTCCTAGCACAAAGCCTGACACATAATCACATTGTATGTAAGTATATGAATCCGAAGTGAGTAATACCTTCTGTCTGGGTCACATAGTATGTAAGTACATTGACCTGAAATTAGTAATACATTATGTCTGGGTAACTTAAGCATCACCATGAATGAATTTATATTTAACCTGGATATTGAAGCACTTCAGTTAATATTTCAGAGAAATAAAGACAGCATGGTCAGTGAAACAAAGGCTTTAAAAGACAAGACATGCTTTGGAAATAGTAAATACTTCACTGTAATTTTATCAACAGGACTTTGAAAGATCTGGTGAGATTATGCTGGAAAAATGGAAGGAAAGAAATTCTAAAGGATACAGTATGTCATAATACTTACATATCATATACTTAGTAGTGTTTTTTCCAGAAATTTCTCTCCATGCTTTTTAAAATCCCCTACTCTGTTATTTCTAATCCTATACCAAGAATAAAACTGTAATAACATTATTTAACCAATATTATTCATCTTAGAACACTATTATTTTTCTCCTGCTGTCATATTTCAACAACTAAAGGCAAACAATATTGAAAATAATCTTTTTCCTTTAAAATAAATTTCACTTGGCAATTATTTATAATTTCTTTTTCGTAGATAAAATATCTGAATCTATTTACACTCTGTCCTTTTGAATTATTAAATCAGAAATGATTTCTTCCTCCTATGACTTGCATCTTTCTCATATATACCTTCAATGTGACTATTTTAGAACTCATTTAGGGATTTAACTTTTACACATTTTTTTCACATGTTATTCATAACACCTATTTTTTAACAGACTGAAAGATTGACTAATTTAAATAATACTATTTTTACAAAGTAAGATGATATTTTACAAAACGATCTAGGACTGACTATTCTTTTTCTGCAAACTAAGATGTAACAAAACGAGTGAGATGTTCTCCGTTCCTAGTTTTTCTACGTGTAGACAAAATAGAAACTGGAATAAACCTTCAAAATGATTGCATCAAATCAATCTTAACCAGAGAAGAATTATATTGTTTGGTACTTTCATAGATAATAAAATTCATTCTCTAGGTACAGGGCTGATGAATTTTTAATATGCACTTTCTATAGAACTATAATAGTTTCATGCCTTTTTCCTCACATAGTCATTTACTCATACATTCATTTAATAAATATCTTTCGAGTGCGTACTGTGTGCTTGGAAATATCTGTGGACAAAATGGACAAAGATTCTTGTCTGTGGAGCAAACATTCTAATACAGGGAGACAGACAATACTTAAAACACAGTCTAGATGGGCGCAGTGGCTCACTCTTGTAATTCCAGAACTTAGGAAGACTGAGGAAGGAAGATTGCTTGAGGCCAGGAGTTTGAGACCAGCCTGGGCAATGTCAAAGACCCTGTCTTTACAAAAAAATTTAAAAAGTAGCCAGTCTTGGTGGCATGCACTTGTAGTCTTGGCTATTTTGGGGGCTGAAATGGGAGGATTGCTTGAGCCCAGGAGCCTGAGATTACAGTGAACTATAATCACGCGACTGCACTCCAGCCTGGGTGACAGTGTGATATCATGCCTCTAAAAAATAAAAAAATAAAAATATAATAAAATAAATTGCTAATCTCTTAACTGGTTGAGATTAAGAGTTCTATAAAAAGTGTCTTAGTTCTTAGACCTAGGATATCCCTTCAAAATTAGAAATATAACTGCTCCTACTGCTGAACTATATATTCAACATATAAATGATATTCAAAGTTAGGACCAGAAATAACAAAAAGAAAGAAAATGGCCCAGGGCCACCAAGAATCTACTAAAATGTATATTTCATCAAGAACAGCCATATTTGTCAGACATGAAATGTTATGGGCTAAGCTAACCATGAAACATGCATTTCATTATTTAACAATAGTTTTAGAAAAATAAACAGGTCCAACTTTTATGCTTACTTTATACAATGAAACTGAAGAACAGAGAAAATTTTCACATTACGAAGCTTAAGAAATGATTTGAATGGGGTTAGATTAGAAGCCAGGCTGTCTACTCCTGGAGATGCTAGACTGCACTGTAAATAGGATCTAGCAACATATTAAAAACCAAACCAGAACAAAAATATAGCAAACATAAAGAGACACTGGGAGCCATGAGGCATAAAAATAAAGTGAAATAAATGTCTCAGTGCACATCTAAAGGCTATTTAGGAGAGAACAAGCTTTAGACAAGAAAATTAAGGTTTCTTTTGCAAGACTATTCTAATATGGAGATGGTACCTCAGACTACTTTGATGTGATGAGAAATATTTTTTTCATCTAATTAATTCTCCATGCTCTGATTTCATACTTATCAACCTTCTGATTATTACTTGAGATCTCAAGTTTAACAGCAAGAGAAAAGGTACTAGCCATATCAATGTAACTATTATGTGCACATGACATTTATAGTTCCTTTTGAAATATAATAAATTTTATTCTATTTTTTAAAATCAGCTTCATGAGCTTGAGTGAAACATAATAGCAATTCATAAACTCTTTGAAGTACGGAGTTCTATGATATTTTATATGCTCTAAATATTTGTTACCACAAGCATTTGTTGAACGAAGCTATTCTCTCAATTATTGAATAAATCAAATTCTACAATTAAAGTGTAAAACAACCCTACAAGTTTTTTTTTTAAAAAAACTATTATTATGCTTATTTTAAAGATGAGAAAACTAACCTTTAAATGGAACACCCAATAAGTCCATAGACATGTAGGGCCAGAATTTTGTGGTCTACCTCATAATAAGGTCTATTTGACCCCAGAGTTAAAACTATTGTTTTTCAAACTATAGCACTACAGCTAATTTATTAGTGTGATCATGAATATTTGAAAATTCCATTTTATCTATCCAGCAAACTGCTGGAAGTTCTTAGCAGATTTGTCTTTTGAAAATATTTACTTCCATCTATGCCTGTCTTTTTCATCTCATAATATTACTTTTCGCAGAGCAGAAGTTTTCACTTTTTTTTTTTTTTTTTTTTTTTTGAGACAGGGTCTCTCTTTGTTGCCCAGACAGGAAGGCAGTAGGGCAATCATGGCTCACTGCAACCTCTGCCTTCTGGGCTCAAGCCATCCTCCCACCTAAACTTCCCTAGGGCTGGGTCTACAGGCACACGCCACAATACCCTGCTAATTTCAAATTTTTTGTAGAGCCGGGATTTTGTCATGTTGTCCAGGCTGGTCTCGAACTCCTGGACTCCAGAGATCCGCCCAGCTCGACCTCCCGGAAAGCTGGGATTACAGGTGTGAGCCAACAAACCCTGCCTGAAGTTTTTACTTTTAATGAAGACCTGTCTATCAATTATTTATTTCATGAATTATGCCATTGGAGCTGGATCTAAAAAATTATCAGCATACCCAAGGTAATCTAGGTTTTCTCCTATAAGAGTTTTATTGTTTTGCCTTTTACCTTTAGGTCTATGATCTATTTTTTGTTCATTTTAATTAAGGGTATAAGGTTTTGCCTGGATTTATTTATTTATTTATTTTTGCATTGGATGTTCAATTGTTCCATTACCTTTTTTTGAAAAGATTGCCCTCACTCCATTGCATAATGCCTTTGTTCTTCTGTCAACGATCAGTTGACTATATTTAAGTGGGTCTGTTTCTGGGTTCTCTATTCTGTTCCATTGATTTATTTGTCTCTTCCATTACCAATATCACTCTGTCTTGATTACTGTGGCTTTATGATAATTCTTGAAGTCCAATAATATCAGTTTTCCAACGTTGTTCTTCAAATTCCTGTTGGCTATGATGGATCTTTTGCCTATCCATGTGAGCTTTAGAATCAGCTTGTTTATAACCACAAAATAACTTGATGGTATTTTGATTGGGATAGATCAAGTAGAGAAGAACTAATATATTGTCAGTACTTCGTCTTTCTCTCCATGAGTAGGAATATTACTCTCAATTTATTTCTTCTTTAACTTCTTTCATTACAAGCATGTAGATTCCATTATATAAATGTTATACTTTTTGTTTTATTTTTTACATTTGTTGCTATGTCATTTTTTGGATGCTAATGTAAATGGTATTGTGTTTTTAATTTCAAATTTTACCCATTCCTGGCTGGTATATAGGAAAGTGATTGACTTTTTAAATTTAACGTTGTATCCTACAATATTGCTATAACTGGTTGTTAGTTCCAGGAGTTTTTTTTGTTGATTTTTTTTCCAAATTTCCACATAGAAAATTATGTCATCTGTGAATAAAGACAGTTTTATTTCTTTCTTCTCAATTTGTGTACCTTCCATTTCATTTTGATTTATTATATGAATTAGAACTTCCAGAACATTGCTGAAAAGGAGTTGTAAGAAGGAACCTATTTGCCTTGTTCCTGAGTTTGGTTGGAAAGTTTCCAGGTTCTCATCATTAAGTATCATGTTAGCGATATATTTTTTATAGATATTCTTTATCAAGTTGAAAAAATTCCCCTCTATTCCTACTATACTGAGAGTTTTTATCATGAATGGGTAATATATTTTGTCAAATGCTCAAACTTTTTTTTGGCATTTATTGATGTGATTTTTATTTTGTAGTGTTGATGTGAGAGATTACATCAATTGATTGTGGAATGTTGAACCAGTCTGCATACCTAGGCTAATCTCCACTTGATTGTAGAATTCTTATAACTATTTCTATACTTTGTTGGGTTGATTTTGCTAGCATTTTGTTGAGGACTTTTGCATCTATGTTTTTGAGTGTAATGTCTTTGTCCGATTTTGGTATTTACATAATGCTGGCCTCATGACTGTTTTTTAAAACATATTTTTTAAATTGAGAGCTTTCATGAATTTTAATGTAGAGAAATAAATATCAGAAATCATCAAAGGACCAACTGGTGATATAAAGTTTCAGGGAATGCTATCTTGATGATTTGCTTCACTTCCTAGAGAAATACATTCCAGAGCCAAATTGTATCAAAAGCTGAATAACAAATATATTTGCTTATATTTTCCAACTGAAACAATCATCGGCCAAGCCTTTATATATATACAGCCATCATCAAAGCATTTGATGCACTCCTGCAAAGAGCTTTATTATCACAAAGATTATCTCTTTCACAAAACTCTATTGAGGCGCCCCTGAACTCTTTTTCAATAAGGCCTGACTTTTGGACTTCTGTGCTCATCTCTGCATTGACCAATTGAAGCAAGGATTCTGCTGAGTCAGTTTAACCAGAACTCTCTGCCCTTGATATCTGATCATCCTGGATATTTGATTGGGTTTCTCATTTTCCACCATCCCCCAAGAAATGTCTGATCACATAACCTGCCTTCAGCAGGAAATCCTACTAGGTTGGCTTAGCCAGAATCTCTTCTTAACCCCTTGTTTTAGTACATTTAGGCTGCCGTAACAAAAACCCATAAACTGGTTGGCTTATAAACAATAGAAATTTATTTTTCACGGTTCTGGACTCTAGGAAGTCCAAGATTAAGGTGCTGGCAGGTTCTGTGTCTAGTGAGTTTCACTTTTCCTATAGATAGCCATCTTGTCACTCTAACATCACATGGCAAAATGGGAAAAGGGTCTCTTTCCAGCCTCTTAGAAAGGCACTAATCCCATTCACCAGGGCTACACCCCATGACCTAATCATCTCCTAAATGCCCCAGGTCCTAATAATATCAGCTTGGAGGTAAAGATATTAACATGTGAATTTTGGGGAAACATAGCATCCCTGATGTTTCCACAGCACCACTGGTATTTCCTCTTAGTAATTTTGCATCCACTGCCACCACCCTCCTCCTTGGCAATAAATTCCCACTTGCACATGCGGTATTCAGAATTAAGCCCAATCTATCTCCCCTACTGCAAGACCCCTATTGCAGTTGTCCCTATATCTATCATCATTCCTCAACTCCCTGCCCCTTGAATAAAGTCTGTCTTTGCTTCTTCAACAGATCTCATTGAATATTTTTTCTTCATCATGTGAGAAAGCTCTGTAGGTTTTTGATTCATGTTCAGAATTCTTCATTAGAATCACAACTTGCTGACATTCCCAATAGCCCGTCAAAACCTGTCAAAACTAGTGGTGAATCCTGATATGTGGCTCAAACACTCGATTATCAAATAGAAGTGAAACATTTTCTTATTCTACAATGTCATTTTTATCATGGATAAGAAACTATCACAATGGTTAAAATACACTCCGATCAGGAGTGTACACACACACACACACACACGTATACACACAGCTGTTCTGTTCTGGCTCTATGTTTTAAAACTGATATTTCATCACTTCTCTTCCTTTCTTCTTCCTTCTACTGAACTTTCTATCCCCAGATGATGATCTTGCTTCACAACTATATCAAAGTTCTCAGTTGCAAAACTTCATGAAAAAAATAAAACCAATCACCTAAGAGTTCTCTCATTATTTTTCAATATTGAATATTATTAACATGGCCACACAGTGTTTTCTTTCTCACTCACAGTAAAAGGCAATCATAACAATAGCTTATAGGGACCTCTATGATCTGGTCTCATTCTCTCTGAATTCTTCATAGTCTTTCTATGTAGAATGTTCTCCAAGACTTCCATTTGGCTTACGTCTAAAAAATAGCTATAACAATGAGAGTTTCCTCATCAAACATAAAACAACAACTATCTTAATGCATGTCATATCCTCCAAACCCTGCCTAATATTTTTAACACAGTACTTGTCAAAATTTATGATTATTTACCTGTCTTCCCCCACTTCTTTTTGTTTTGCTCTGTTTTTGTTTTTGATGTCCATTGTTTTGGTTTTGTCCTTGTTTAGTAGCATATTCCCAGGGCTCAGAAGAATGAATGTGACACTTCACTGACTATCACTGGATCCAGTATGAGTAACCCGAGTCAGGCTTCTGAACCTTCCTCGATTTGGGAGCATATTCATTACCAAGTTCAAGAATATCACACTGAGAAGTTTTTAGAGATACAGGCAGCTAGTCATCCTCTTTACTTCACTGGTTGTTACAAGCATTTATCTAAACTTCTACAAATCTTCCTTTAAATGTAATACCGTCTCTGGATAGAAGGCCAAGTTTTAAGGATTTTATTTAAAGATAAATATTGTTAAACCATAACTGATTGAGTTTTGCTAGAATTTAAATTTATGTTATGCATTTAATTACCCTGTTAGGTATTAGTTTCAAAAGAATTCAGAATAAAACTAAGATCAGTAAATATTGTGGCAAAAGAAAAGAGATATTTTTAAAAGGTTTGTTATTAAAAGGTTTGTTATATCAGATAGTTCAGTGAATTTCACTGTGCTTGACGGATTTTTAAAAACTCACTGGCAGATTAACAAAATACTTCAGATGCAAAAATCTGAAGTATTTAGTTAACTGATGAGTTAACTAAAAATATTAATTAAACAAAATCATTTTGTCAAATACTTCATTGTACTCTCTTTACTAGTTATATTCTGACTCATAAATGAAAGTTTCTGAAAAAATACACGATTTTGATGGAAATTTTCATTTTGAAAAAATAGTTTACCACAAGGTTGTTAAAACTTGAGTTTAAAATGATCACTAAAACTAAAGTTTGCCTCCAAAGCTGTGAGGAAACAAATTTTTGTTCTTTAAGCCACCAGGTCTGTGGTACTTTGTTATGGCAGCCCTAGCAAACTAATATAGAAATATAATGTGGTTTCATATTCTTTCTATCCAATTCTTTCCTGTTCCCTTCCACAGGTGTCACACTTGAATCATGGTCTCTCTCACTTTATCCTTCACAGTTTTTTTCCCCCAACAATTTTTTTTTACAGGTATAATTCCATTTTGGCTTCTGCTCCTCATTAAAACCAATCTAACACAGTCTTCTAAATAAAACAGGGTAAAACAGTATTTCCAGTTCATGAAACAGAGATATGAATTTGAAATCATTATTGTATGAGAGTTCACTTATACTTCAGTTAAATTCTAGTTTTCATTTCTTCTAAAAATTACTCCTTATACATCTGACTATAAAATACTTTTCAGTGCATATATTTATTTTTAAAACATAATTTCCCTCAAAAGTCAAAAAAACCTAAGAATCTATCCCAACCTGTAAATTTTTATTTATTGGGGGGCATTTCATGATAGCTCCTGTGTGAATCTTCCTTAAGATGACTGAATTCGATGACATTGAATAGCAATGAAAATATTGTAGCTACCATTTCAGAAAATACTACATTCCTGTTCATGAAAAACAGTTAAATTGAACACATGTATTTTCAAGGTGTTAGCTGAAGGAACAAAAAGGAAGAACTGAATAACTATATATATTTTTCTGATATACATATTTTCTGATATTTTATGTATATGTATTTAGTTTCTGATACATATATCAGAAACTAAGTATCTGCAAATCTATGCCCAGAGAATCGCCTAATGTGTAATATGATTAAGTATTCACAATAAGATTAACAAATGGCCTAAAAATTATATCAATCATTAAATTCAAATACTACTAAAGTGGTCAGCACTTCACTGTGTATTATTTATTTTAAAAAATAATAATTATTTTAAACTCTACAATTTCAAGTGGCAGGTGTTGAGTGGGCTAGACTTTTTTTTAATAACCACTAAAAACAATTTCTTAAAAGCTTATAAAATTGTATTATTTTACCTTACCAAAAGATGTGCAGGAGATGTCATTTTAAAAAATTCATTGTAGTAGAATTCTTAATTAAATATGATGTAAAATAAATGGGCAATGAGTGAAAACCTAAAACTTTCTTTACACAAAAATATTGACTGTAAAAGAAAATTTGAGGTAAGGATTTCAGTAACGAGTGCTGCAAAGGAAATATGCAGTCACTGAATCAGTGAACTGAGAAAACATAGAAGGCATTTGTATCATTTCAAATTTTTAAATGCTACCTAAAATATTTTCTAGTGTTGTGCTACTGATAGAAAAATGCAACCAGAAAGTCCAGGCTATGAAATATTCTGCTTCTAAAATACTTGTACTAAAACAAATTAGAAATTTGGGAAATTAATTTTCCAGCTGTAAATTTTTTTTATCATGACATAATTTTACTATTTGAATGGGATCGTGACTCTATTAACATTTCAGTGTCCTGTTTTGTTACAAAAAAAAGTCAAAAGGATAATTTAGAGTGGACATACCTTCCTCCACATTCATATCTAAAATATCTATCAAACAGAAGTTTATTTCTGCTACCAAATCTCTAAAATTACCGGCTTCTGCATTCACTGTCTGTTCGGTTCTCCCACCAAAATTCAAAAGGAGAGATGCACCACCTCTTATTTATATGCTTCTCTCTCATCTATTCTGAGTGCTTTACCTCCTTATTAGCTCATCTTTTAAACTGTATCCTTTTGTTTTTTCTCTGGTTCTTTTCTAACAATATTTTAAAATTTCATGGTTTTTATTAAAATTAAAATCTCATTCTCCCAAATTCCATTCAAAACTGTTTCTCTCTCTCCTGTCTTCACAAAGTTGTAAAATAATTGTCTTTACCAGGGATTGGCAAACCTTCTCATAAAGAGCCAGCATGTCAATATATTAGGCTTTGTGAAACATGTGATTGTTGCTGCAGCCACTTCTCTCTACTGTTGTAAGGTGAAAGTAAGACAATTGATAATCAAATGAGTGCAGCTGGCTTTTGATAAAACTTTATTTATGGATACTAATGCTAGAACTTAATAAAATTTTCCTGTTTTACAAGGCGTTATTTTTTCTTTGATTTGTTTCAATCCTTAAAAATATAAATACCATTTTTACTTTCCAAGCTGTGTAAGAACAGATTCCAGGCCAGATTTAGCTTGTACACTATAGTTAGTCAAAACCTGGCCTATATACACTCTTTCTAACTCTCACCTCCTCTACCAGCGCAATCTGCCAACAACTCTCTTCCCCCTGGGGACACTGCTCTAACAACCTACTTTTTGCAAATTTTATGATGAATAATTTCTACTCCTCATTTTACTAGATCTTGGAACAAGATTTGACACTACTTACCACAGTCTCTTTCTTCTGGAAGTACTACTATCTTTCCATAGTTTTAATAAAGCCCTACTCTATTTTCCTTGGCTCTCTCCCCCTTCACTGAATCTCCTTTGCAAGATTTTCCTCAAATACCTACCCCACTGTGGGTGGCGAATGTCTCTGTTCTAGTCACTGTCTTCTCCACTAACTATCTGTGCTTCTAGTCATCTCACCTACTCCTTGTCTTCAATTATTTTTCATATTGTAGTTCTCAAATATGTGTAGGTGAAATAGTTATGAAATCACCATTTAAAGTGCAAATTATATACTGTAACCTGTTAAAACCCTGAAAGATGGCCATGAAATGTGCATTTTTGACAAAAAGCCTATGTTATACTAATGGAACACAACATTTTAAGAAACACTGATATGGAAACCAATGGCTCTTAAATTTGTATCTCTTGACAAACTGCTCTTCTGAGGTCCAGATCCTCATATGGAACTGAATCCAGAACTAAATGTACACAGAGATCTACAGTTCAGTGGGTCTGAACCAACTTCTTCGAAACAGCTTTTTATTTCAGTGAATGAGCACAGCTGTCCATTTACTGAACTTTCATTATTTATTTTTATTTTTACTTTAAGTTCTGGGATACCTATGCAGGATGTGCAGATTTGTTACATAGGTAAATGTGTATCATGGTTTTTTGCTGCACCTATGAACCCATCACCTAAGTATTAAGCTCAGCATGCATTAGTTATGTTTTCTAATGCTCTCCCTCCTCCGCCCCATGCCCCATTTACTGAACTTTTAAAACCAATAAGTAAGTTCTCATTCTTTTTCCTCACCATTCAGAACAAATAATCAATCACTAAGCACATTTCATAACTATATCTTTAGAATGTATCCTGTTTTCTCTATTTTCATTGCCATCTTACTACTTCAACACATCATTCGTTATTGTGAGGAATTCTTGACTCCCTCTCTCCATGTTTACTCACCTCTGATATCAACTGTGACTATAGATTGCCCTGTGCTTATACTTTCAATGATTTATGATTTCATTTAGGATGAGAACCAGTCTTCTTAATACAATACTTTTCATAAACTGTCTCCAAATTCCTTTCCAGATTCATCTGTCATTACTGCTCACTCTACCTGCGCCAGCTCTTCAGCAGGTTTCTTGATCTCCATGATCCATCCAGTGACTCATAACCATTACTTCTCTAACCTCCAGGACTTTGCATATACCTCTCCCTCCAATCTGTAATAATTTGTACCTTCTAAAATTTACTTCTGCACATTTACTTTACCCCTTTCATAGATTAATTTTATATATTAATTATTTAGGTCTAAGCTTACATATCACTAGGAATCTAGGCATTCTCAGAAGCATTCCTTATGCTTCTGAAATACTCCCCCATTGACCTAATTGACCCTTAACACACTGTGCTTTCCTGTGATCACCCATGGATGGCACTCTCCATGAAGGCAAAGACGAAGGCTGCTGTTTTTTTCAGCATTAAACCAATATCTGTCAGACAAAAATTACTCAACAGACATGTCTTATTAAATTGCCTCTTCATTAAGAATATTTGAGATATTTTCACTTTTCTGATTTGATCTATGCTTTCCCCAGAGTTATACTTGTTTTCCTATATAATCCAAATTATTCATGGATAAATGTTAACTGTTGACTAAATAATTTTTAGGAAAAATATTTTGTGAATGTGCTATATTCATTAACTTCTTTCTAAAGCTGGAAGACAATGAATCTTAATATTTTATAAACTCAAATTTATTATAATTTCTTTTAGAAAAATAGATAACATTTGAACTCTAAGTTTTAGCTCTTGTCTTTCAAATCTCAGCTGCAAATTAAAGATATTGTGTAATAGTACCACATAATAAATTCAATTTATATGCTAGAGTTGTATTTTATTAACAAAAAACAGTTTAATATCATAGTACATGAAGATCATTGGGTTAAAGTCTAGTGAGCTTCCATTAAGTAGCTTTTATCTACATTTTCATAATATCTCTAAATGTATTTTAACGCAACTGATTCCATTTTTAAAGTATGTCCAGTATCATCCTTCAGATTACTACAATGTTCTACACTGAACATAATTACAATGAAGGGAAATAGTGTATGAAATAGTAATAACAGCATTCATTCTTAAATGTGTTATTGCCCTTGAAATTCTGCCTTTTGATGTCATACTACTTTTCCCTTGGTCTCTTTTTTCCCTAGATCTCTCCTCTAAATAATTTTTCTATTTATTAAATTTTTGATATAACTTTTAATTGTCAAATGAAAAATATAGCCAAGTACTTCATTATGAACTTATTTAAAAAGCATCTAATAAAGTAATTCCAGTTATAAGGGTAGACCACAAAACAGACATACAAATACTTATGGAATAGATAGACATCTACTAGGAAGTGAGAGCCAGACAAGAGAAGAAGATGACATGGAAACTACAAAACTCATAAGAAAAACATATTATTGAAATAAAAATTAAATTAGAAGGAACAAATAACAGAACACATATAGTTTAAGGCACATTGGGAAACTTAAAATTTATTAATAAAGAAATGATTAAAATAATAGGCTAAAAGAACTAGAAAATAATCAAAATAGAAAATGACAATGAAATGCCAATAGACACAACATTTTGCCCCTAGAGAGGAATACAAAAACAATAAGCAGAACAAAAATTAAAAAAAAAAAGAAAAAAAATTGACTAAAAATATTGAGACTTCAACCTACATATTGTTCAACATGAACTCAGAGAAATTTGATAGTCAACACATATCACAGTTATTGAAATACACAGGAGAAAAAAGAATCCCAGAGGAGCCAGACAAAAAGAAGAAGTAAAGAAAATATTTTGGGAGTCAAATGTCTCCACAGAAACATTTATTTCCAAAATAAAGTGAACAAAACCTATTAAACACAAAGTTTTCAGACATAGATTTAAACATGAAAGAACTCAGACTACTGTTTATATGAGAAGATAGATGAGTAGAAGATGAACTGTAGCCAATCAAAAAACAAATAGAAAATTGGCAATGTTGAATATGTTTAACTATAGATTTAAAATGAAAAGAAAGGTAACAATAAGTAGGAAGGACAGAATAGAATAAAATTATTGTATGCTCTCTGACAATATACAAATGATTCTGCTAACAAAAATTTGTACATAATGGGGAAAAGAATATAGGATGTAGATTACATTCACTGATAGCCTCATGCCTTCCTCAAAAATCTCATTGATCCCCGAGGCTTTAAATATCTTCTACATGTCAATAACTCATAAATCTATATTCCCGGCCCTTTTACTTTAACAGCACTTTATGCTGTTGATAGTCAATAACCTTGGCATCTTAAATTGAATCTTAAATACATATTATGAATTTAACAACATAGAAAGATATTTTATTTCTCTGTTTCCAAATCTGCTTCTTTAATTATGTTTCTCTTATAAATAAGTGGCTTTTATATACAGCAAATTTTTCAAACCAAAGATCTCTGAACTCTTATTTTCTTTGTCTCACAGCCTTCCCAATTGATCAACCAGCTAATCTGTGCCAGGTATTTCAACCCAAGACTTCCTGAACCCATATCCTTCCTCCCACATTACTACCCTAAGGTGGCAACAAGTTGTCATATAAAGAACAGAAAGAAGACCAGTATGGCTGCAGATGGCAATAAGGAGAAGGTAGGAGTTGAGCTAAAATAGTTCGCGGAGATAGGTGGGGCAAGATCACCTAGGGCTGTGTAAGCCATTGCATTGTAAAGAACATTGGTTTTATTCTAAGTGTGATAAGGATCTATTGAAAAAATTTTAAATGGAGGAGTGATGTAACCTATACTTTAGTTTTAGAAAAAGCACTCTAATTGCTACATGGAGATTGGATTATAGGGGATAAAAGAGAGAAGTTGAAAGTAAGAGGTAATGAGGATTTGGGCTAGAGTGTGTGTAGCATTAATTCTACATAAACTGTAGATTTAAAATGTGTGTGCAGGAGGGAGAGAGTGATCTCAAAGATCAGGATCCCAAATGGATATATGCACTCCCACATTCACTGAGCCATTATTCGCAATAGCCAAGATGGGAAACATACTAAATGTCTTCTGACAGATGAATAGGTAAAGAAAATGTAGTATATACATATAATAGAATACTATTCAGCCTTTAAAGAAGGCAATCCTGTAATACGAGATGGTCTGGATGAACCTTGAGGACTTTATGCTAAGTGAGATGATGCTGACCATGCTGCAGAAAGACAAATACGTGTACTGCGTGATTCCACTTTTATGATGTATCTAAAATAACCAAATTCACAGAACCAAAGAGTGAAATGGAGGTTTTCAGGCGTTGAGGAAGGGAGAAATAGGGAGATACTTTCAAAGGGGATAAAGTTACCATTAAGCAATATGAATAAGCTTTAAACATCAGTTATATAACATTTTACCCATAGTTAAAAATAATATTTTGTATACTTATAATTTGTTAAAAGGGTAAATCTCATATTGAGTATTCATACTACAAAAAATATTTTTTAAGTGGGGGGAAAGAACAAAAGTAGTTGAGGAAAGTAGAGTATTTATATACTCTAAGGAGTGAGAAGAAAACAGATTGATAAATTGAGTAACATTTAAAAACTTGTTCTTAATTTCAAAAACACCAGAAATAAAACTATTAAGGAAAATATTTAATCTGAATTATAAAACATAGTGCTCTTAATACATGAAGAATTATTTTAAAATTTAAAAATAAAACATTCTCAAAAAAGTGAAAAGATAACAGGCAATTCTCAAAAAATATATACAAATGTCTAACAAACATATAAACAATGTTCAGTCATTAATGATAAAATAAAACAAATTAAAATACAAGAAACACATTTTTTGCTAAAACATATGGAAATAAGCACAAAAAAGTAATGGTATATTTGTCCAGGATATGCTAACACAGCCACAGCAATTATGGAAAAGCATCACCTATTCCTATTATCCAGGCATTTGTTTCGCTTGTTACATGCAGGTTAATTGTTTAAAAATTTTAATTTTGCCCCTCTTTATTAGGAAGCTTGTAGCAGTGATCTCTTTGCTTTTAATTTTTTAAAAAATATTTGTAGAGATGGGGTCTTGCCATGTTGCCCAGGCTTGTCTTTAGGTCCTGGACTCAAGTGATCCTCCCACCTAGGCCTCCCAAAGTGCCAAGGTTATAGGCATGAGCCACCGTGCCTGGCCACCAGTGCTCTTTATAAAAGAAAAAAAAAAAGAAAAATGAAAAATGAAAAATACTCAATATAAATATTGGTAAAAGTGAACTGTGATATATTCCAAAATATATGACTATTCAGTCATTAAATGTAGTGTTTTAGAATAATAATTGCATGATAAACTATTTACAATATTCTATTAAGTTGAAAAATAAAACTATAAAATGATATTTTGTAAAAGCAATTGCATACACACAACACAAAGATAGAACAAATATTTACCAACATGTTATGACTGTGAAGCAGGCTTACTGTGCACTGGTTACCAACCTGTCCTAAGTCCAGTGAGGCAAAACACCACATATACACAAGTCACACGAAGCAGGTTTATTACTTACAGATAAGCAGCAAGAGACAACAGAAGCCGATGATGCAGGATGAGTTGGTTCCCAAAAGCTCAAGAAATAAAAAAAGTTTTCAAAAGTTTAGAATGAAGAATTATTGATATTTGACCGCCCATGGGATTATTAGAGAAAAAATAATTTTTATCAGATTGTAGGTTACTCACCAATATAAATATACAAAGCAATTTACTAGCTGATGTTTTCCAAAACATTGCATTTTATTCTCCTCTGCTTCATCCACATATATTTCAAGATTTTTTAAAAATATAACTCAAATAAATGTCATAAGAAAACATACTCATTCACTGAAAAATTTATGGTATATTGACAAAGACTTAATTAAGCAATCTTTTTGTATTAGTAAAATATATTTCTTCTTTTGAAAACTTTGTTTTATTTAGACTGAATAACTGACATTTGCTTTTGTTTTGCATGACAAATAACATAGAAACTTATTTGGGTAATTAATTCTGTTTCTTTAATGTACATATAAGTATACACAATAAAAGTCGTAACAAAATTGAATCTACAAATTTATTCTCGAAAAATACTTAATGTTATTTGCAAATATACAAAAATTTACCAAATACCACTGAGGAAACATTGACCTTTATTAAACATAATAAAGAAGTGTCTTCATCCTTTATGAGATTTAAATAACTGCCATTGAAAATCCTGTGCTTAGCTGCTAAAGGTACTCATCTTCAAATCCAAGTAACAGATTAATCTGAACATTGGCATTCAGATTATTTTTTTCTCAATTAATTGTGTAGTTAAATTAATATGATTCTTATTAAGGTATGAAATATGTTAAAGAATGACTGTAATAAAATATGCATTATACCTTTTCAGCAAAAGAGAAAGCTATATGTACAATATGTGGCTTATCTATAATTTAAAATAGTTCCACAAATAAATCAGATTTTGATGAATAGTGTATTTCTACATCATTTTCACTTGTTATTCATTTTTAAAGCAAAATTATGATATTCATTTTAAATAAACTCTGTTGTAACACAATGCTTTGTTTTTAAGGTATGGTTCTTTGGGGAAAGATAATTGAAAGTGTTTTAGAAGCTAATTTTCAAAATATTGCACAACTGGTGAGGAAGGAAGTTGAAATATGAAATCAAATGAGTCTGCTTCAAAACTAACACTTTTGACAAATCAGTTTGGGAAATTCAGAAAGATAGTGTGGGGGTTAAAGGAAAACCATTTTCATTAGAATATTAGCAAAAGGCTCTTATTCCTTCTTTATAAATGAGCCGTAATTTAATAAACATACTTATTAATATAAGTATAAATGAGTATATATTTATATTGCATAATATAAATGAGTCATACTTATTAATATTTATTTTATTTATAATAAAATAAGTATAATCAGGTATTACAGTTGTCTTTGCATAATTTTGATATTGTTAAGAAAATGACTGTCAAAACACTGAGCAGTTGAACCAGTGCAGTGTAGAAAAAAGTACAGTTGCTAGACATATGAAGTCAGGATAAAACAAAGATAGTATGTCAATTGAAAAAACAAAAGAATTCCTTTCTGTGTACAGGAAAACAATCACAGCAGAAATGTAAATGTAATCTATTCAAAATAAAAGAAAAAGATGATCAAGTGAATAGTGTAGATGCTTTTATAGGCTTTCTGAAATTTTTCTACATGGCATAAGTGGTATTATTATTATTATAACTATTATTATTACCTTGTTTAACATTGTTTTCTTTCTTTTAATACTTCCAAAATTGTGACATCCATGGGTTTACAGTTGTTCTTCTCATGGAAAAGTAAGCACCTAATAAGCTGGCCCTCCTGAAGATAAAACGATTAGTCCTGAAAAAAAAAAAAAAAATCTGAGAATTCTGGAAGGGAAACAAAGCAGGAAGATTTTAGTAGGAATTTAAAACTTTGAAGAAGTGACCTGTAAAAACTAAGTTTTCTGTATGTTGCTTTGAGCTTAGAGCATCAGCAATGATCAGCAGCATTGGATAGCTAAAATTAAAAGAGAAAGTTTAATTTATGTCTGGTTGGAAAAACCAAGGAAAGGATCCTGGGGCAAACAGGGTAATAAGAGAATGAGGAGGAGCCCTAGAAAGGAGAGAGCCATAGAAGGGAACCCATAGTTATTTGTGCAGTAACTCTGCTCCAGTTACTGATTGATGGCTCAGCAGAGCAAACTTGAAATATATGCAGAGCAAACTTGAAGCAGTTTGAAAAGTCATCCGAGTCACAACTCACCACAGACTGGATAGCTCTATTTTAATGAAGTTCAATGCACACTAAAACAAACACTTAAAATTATTTCTGCAATATATAAAATAATTACAGTCTGAACAATGGAACACTAAAAATAAGCAAAATGCCATCCAAAATTACTTGACATATGAAGAGACAAAACATGACCCATTCTCAAAGAAAAAGACAATGGATAGCAATGTAGAGGTGACTCAGATATTAGAAATCTCAGGCAAAATCTGCAAAGCAGAGAGTATGAACTGATCAATGACTCTAAAGAAAACTTATTTATAATGAATGAAAAGATAAGAAATCTCAACAGAAAATGGCATTATAGAGAAAGAAAATTTTATAATTGAAAATATATGAAATAAGATAATTCACTATATAGGCTTAATAGCAGAATGGAGATGAAAGAGTAAATAATAATCAAAACTGAAGATAGATAAATGGAAATTATGTAATCTGGAGATGAGAGGGAAAATGTATACCCTTATTACTTATAAGAAAATTTAAAGAAATGGAACAAACAAAAAGGTAATTGGAATCTCAAAAGGAAATAGGGCCAGAAAGGAGTAGAAAAAGATTTTGAAGCAATAATGACAAAAACTTCCCAATTTGAGTGAAACATATAAAATTACAGATTTTAAAATCTTAGTGAACTTCAAACAGAATACACAGAAAATTATGCCAGGATACGTTATAGTTAAACCACTAAAACTATGGATGTAAAGAAAACTTGAAAGAACCTAGAGAAAAATGAATATCACATAAAGTAAGAAAATATTAAAGTGGCCATAGAAGAGACTGCAGAAGCAAAAAAGAGAACTAATATCTTTAAGTACTGAGAGAATATACCTTTGACCTCAAATTTTATAACCAGTGAAAATATCCTTCTTGAATGAAGATAAAATAATGACAATTTTTAAAGATGAAAAATTGAGAGATTTTATTGCTAATACAATGGCACTATAAAAATGCTAAAGGGTGTTTTTCAGGCTAAAAGTGATACCAAATGGAATCACGGATCTTCAGGAAAGAAGAAAGAATATTAAAAATGATAAATATCTGGGAAAAAATTAAAGATGCAACTTTATCTTCCAAAAGATCTGAAGTACAAAGAATTATTCAAGGCTAAAATTATAACATTGTCTTACGGATATAATAAATATGACAACTATCCCATTAATAATAAGAAAAAAATAAGTAGACCCTTGTGGTTACAAGGTTTTAACATTTTACATAAAGTGACAAAATATTAACTTGAGCTGTAAACAGATGAAAATAAGCATTTTAATACCAGAGCATATTATAAACAGACAATAGATAGAAAAAAATTCTATAATATATTAGATTGGTTGGTGCAAACGTAATTGAGGGTTTGGTAATTAAATTAAGTGCCAAGTTAATTTAAATAATAATTAAATAGTTAAATAATTCAAATACAAATACAATGATGATTGTTCAAAAATGAGAGACATTTTTTGTAACAATAAAGGTGTAGTCTTTGCTGTCTCACACTTTTAATCCCAGTGCTTTGCGAAGCCAAGATGGAAGGGTTGTTTGAGGCTGGGAGTTCAAGACCTGCCTGTGCAAAATGGCAAGACCCTATATCTGCCAAAACTTTAAAAATTAGATGTGCATGGTGGTGTGAGCCCATAGTCCTAGCTGCTCAGAAAGCTGAGGTGGGAGGATGACCTGAGCCCAAGAGTCTGAGGTTATAATGAGCTATGACTGCACCACTGCACTCCAGGCTTGGCAACAGAGCAAGACACTCTCAATAAATAAATAAATAAATAGCACAAATTCATTAGGAAGACATAACATTCCTAAATGTGCTTTTGCCTAATAACAGGGCCTTGGGTTATTTGAGTATTCAAAGCAAAAATTTACAGAATTGAAGACAGAATCGAAGAATTTCACAAATATCATTTTAGCATCCTTCTCAACAACCATTGATAGAATAATAATACAAAAATGATCAGTAAAGAGAAAGAATATCTGATACAGCCCTACTAGGTAGACTTGATATTTATAGCAGACCACCCTTAACAACAACAGAATACATATTATTTTCAATATAGTTTACAAGCTGGCCATAAACTGTCTTAACAAATTTTAAAAGACCAAAATAGAAAAGAGAACCAAAATGAAATTAAACTAAAAATTAAAATAATAAAATATTTAGAAAAAGACCAAATATATGGAAATTAATCACATCTCTAAATGATTCATATTCGTGGAGGAAAGTAGAAAAAAATAGAAAATTATTTAGAATTGAATTACAATGAAAATACATCATGTAAAAATGTGTGGAATGCAGCTAATCTATGCATAGAAAAAGCATATATTTTTAAATGTTTATATTAGAAAATAAGAAATGTTTTAAAATGATGTATTTTTAAACTAAAAGCAAGTAAAATATTGAAAAAACAAAGTAGAGGAAAGTAAATTATAAACATCAAAGAAGAAATTAATAAAAAACAGACAATAGAAAAAATGACCAAAGCCCAAATCTAGGTTTTTAAAATTAAAAATTAACAAACCCTCTGTTAGATGAATAAAAAGGAAACGGGGAGAGATTCAACAAATCATCAATATCAGGAATAAAATAGTCCCACTGCAGATCTGACAGGGATTAAAAAGGTAACAAGAGAATGCCAGGCGCGGTGGCTCACGTCTGTAATCCCAGCACTTTGGGAGGCCGAGGTGGGTGTATCACGAGGTCAGGAGATCGAGACCATCCTGGCTAACATGATGAAACCGCGTCTCCACTAAAATACAAAAAATTAGCCAGGAGTGGCGGCGGGCGCCTGCAGTCCCCGCTGCTTGGGAGGCTGAGGTAGGAGAATGGTGTGAACCCTGGAGGCTGAGCTTGCAGCAAGCGGAGATGGCGCCATTGCACTCCAGCCTGGGCGTCAGAGCGAAACTCCGTCTCAAAAAAAAAAAAAAAAAGATAACAAGAGAAAAGAAGGATTCTGGGCAGGATGACAGTGTAGGAAGCAGGAAGCACCAGAAACCTACACACACTATCTAGACAAGTGCACTGTCAGAATCTGTTCAATGCAACAATTTTGGAATTCTAGAGTCTATTGAAGGCTTGTAACTTCCAGGTAAGGCCTGTACCATAAATTGAAAGGATGAAAAAAAAATTTTATTTAAATAGTAATCAAAACAGATCAGCAGTGGCTATGTTAGTATCAGACAAAATAGACGTTAAGTCAAAAAAAAAGTTTACAGGAGACAATGAAGAATACTAATCTTTTATTTATATATTATTAAAAGTTTCAATAAATAAAAAACATATAACAATCATACACATTTACACACAACAACAGGTCATCAAAATATATGAAGCAAAAATTGGCAGAATTGAAGAGGAAAATATACTTTTCTACAATAATAATTAGAGACTTCACCAACCCACACTCAATAAGAGTAGAGCAACCACACAGAAGATAAGTAAGAAATTAAGGAGTTGAACAACAAAATAAACCAACCAGATCCAACAGAGATATACAGAACAATCTATTCAACAATAGCAGAGCATACATTCAAGTCCACATGGGACAATTTCCAGGATAGACCATATGTTAGTCTGCAGATTAACTCTCAATAGATTTAAAAGATAGATATCATAGAAAGTATTTTTTCTGACCACAATATGATGAAGTTAGAAATCAAAAACCAAGGCTGGGCCCGGTGGCTCACGCCTGTAATCCCAGCACTTTGGGAGGCCGAGGCGGGTGAATCACGAGGTCAGGAGATCGAGATCATCCTGGCTAACATGGTGAAAACCTGTCTCTACTAAAAATACAAAAAATTAGTCAGGCGTAGTGGCGGGCGCCTGTAGTCCCAGTTACTCGGGAGGCTGAGGCAGGAGAATGGCCTGAACCCTGGAGGCGGAGCTTGCAGTGAGCCGAGATTGCGCCACCGCGCTCCAGCCTGGGCAACAGCGCCAGACTCTGTTTCAAAAAAATAAAAAAAAAAATTAAAAAAAAAAATTAAAGCCAAATAAAAGCAGAAAAATTCACAAATTTGTGGAAATTAAACAACACACTCTTAAATAACCAATGGATTAAAAAATCACAAGAAGATTTACCAAATACCTAGAGAAAAATGAAAACAAAAACACAACATATCAAAATGTATGTGACTCAGTGAAAGCAGTACTGTGAGAAAGTTATAGCTATAAATGTTTACATTAAAAAAAAAATTTCACTTCAGTAACCTAACTTTACAACTCTGGAACTAGAAAAAGAAAAAAAACTTAACCCAAAGCTAGCAGGAGGAAGAAACCAATAAAAATTAGAGCAGACATAAATTGAGAATTAAAAAGCAATAGAGAAAACCAACAAAACTGAAAGATGGTTCTTCAAAGAGATCAAAAAAATTGACCAATCTTTAGCTAAATGGACTATGAGAAAGAGAAATGATTTGAATTACTAAAATTAGAAATGAATGTGGAGACATTATTGACCTGTTCTACACACCTAATAAAGATGGTAAAAGAACATTATGAGCAATTGCACATCAACAAATTAGATAATTTAGAAAAAGTACAAACATTCCTAGAAAACACAAAACTTACTAAGAGTAAACCACATAGAAATAAAAAATATAAGCAGACCTATGAGTAAGTAGATTAAATCAGCATTCAAAAATCTCTCCTAGGACACCCCCTCAAAAAAAAAAAAAAAAAAGCAGCCCAGGACCAGATAACTTCACTGTGAATTCTATCAAGCATTTAAAGAATAAATGCCAATCACCTCCAGTTTTCCAGAAATAATTCCAAAGGGGAAGACTTCCTAACTCATCAATGAGATCAGCCTTACTCTGATACCAAAACCACACAAAGACACTATAAGAAAAAAATAAATTACAGAACAATAACCTACAGGAGTATCGATGTAATAATCAACAAAATACTAGCAAACAAACTTTATCAGCATATTAAAAGGACTATACACCACGACCAAGTGAAGTTATTTCTGGAATGGAAGAATGGTTCTACATATAAACATTGATTAATGTAATACACAATATTAACAAAACAAAGGAAAAAATTTTGATTATCTTAATTGATGCAGAAAAAATCTATAATATTCAACATATTTTCATGATAAAAATACTTTAAAAAGTAGAAGGGAACTACTTCAATTTACATATGAAAAATTCATAGTAAACATTATACTTAATATTGAAAGATGGAAAGTTTTCCCTCTAACATCAGAAACAATGCAGGAATACCCTCTTCAACATAGTCCTGTATGTCCTAGATAGAGCAATTAAGCATATATATAAACTATATATATTATATAAACTATATATAACAAGTATCCAAACTGAAAATAAAGAAGTAAAATCATCTCTATTTTCCATGACATAATTTAATATCTAGAAAACCCTAAAGATTTCACAAAAAAAGCTATTAGAATTAATGAATGAATTCAATTCAGCAAAGTAGCAGGATGTAAAGTTGAGATGTAAAAATCATTTGGATTTCTATATACCAGCAATAAACAGTCCCCAAAGGAAATTAAGAAAACTATCCCTTTTGCAACAACAAAAAAGATTAAAATACTTAGGAATTAACTTAATCAAGGAGGTAAAAAACTATACAACAAAACCATACAACATTTGCTAAAAGAAATTTTAAAAGACACTTATAAATGGAATAACATGCCAAGTTTATGGATTGAAAGACTCAATATTGTCTGGATATCAATAATATCCAAAGCAATCTACAGATATAATTCAATATCTGTCAAAATCCCAAAGACATTTTCTGCAAGATTCATAAAAAAATCTGAAAATTCACATGAAATACAAAGGACCCTGAGTAGCAAAAACAGTCCTAAAAGAGAAGAACAAAGTTGGAGGTCTCCTTCTTTCTGACTTCAAAATTTAACACAAAGTTACAGTAATCACAACAGTGTAGTACTGGCATAAAGGCAGATATAAAGACATAAAGAGCCCAGAAATAAACCCTGACAGATATGGCCAAAGGTTTTTCAACGACAGTAGCAGGACCACTCGATGGGGGAAAAAAAGACAGTTTTTTCAATAAATTCTGAGAAAACTGCATATCCATATGAAAAAGAATAAAGTTCAACCCTTACCTAAAACCATATGCAAAAACTGACTAAAATGAATTCATGTCCTAAATGTAAGACCTAAAACTACAACACTCTTAGAAGATAACATAGGAAAAAAAATACCTTTGCAATATCAAACCTTGCAGTGTTTTCTTAGATATAAAACCAAAGATGCAGGCAAAGAAAGAAAAAATACACAAGTTGCACTTCATACAAATTCTAATTTTCCAACAAAAGGCACTATCAACAGAGCAAAAAATACATCCAACAAAATTGGATAAAATGTTTATAAAACATATCTGGTAAAAGATTAATATCCAGAATATATGGGAAAGTTCTACAATTTAACAACAACAACAAGAAACAAAACAAACAAACAAAAAAAACAAAGAACACAACTCAAAAATGGACCAAGGACTCAAATAGACATTTTTCCAAAGAGGACATACAAATGGTCAATAAGCAGATGAAAAGATGCTCAACATCACTAATCTTTAGGGAAATGCAAATCTATAATGAAACATCACCTCACACCCATTAGAATGGCTATTATAAAAAAATAACAAGTGTTGGTGAAGATGTTAAATCAGAACACTTGCATCGTCTTGGGAGTGTAAGATGGTATAGCTGCTGTGAAAAACAGTATGGTAGTTCAACAAAAAATAAACAAAAATAAAAATAGAATTACCATATGATTTGGCAATTTCATTTCTGGGTATATACTCAGAAGCATTGAAAGCGGAATCTCAAAGAGATATTTGTACACCTATGTTCATAGCAGCTTTAGTTGTGATAGTTAAAACGTAGAAGCAATTGAAGCATCCATTGAAAAATGAATAGACAAGCAAAATGGTATACATACATACAATAGATTTATGCAGTGTTGAAAAGAAATTCTGACACATTCTAACATGGATGAATTTTGAGAACATTATGTTAAATTAAATACGCTTGTCCCCAATACACAAATAGTGAATGAGTCTACTGATAAGTGGTACTTAGAGTAGCCAAAATTGTAGACAAAGAAAGTAGAATAGCAGTTGCTAGCAGCTGAAGTAAGGCAGAATGAAGAGTTGTTGTTTAATCGGTATAGAGTTTAATTTTTGGAAGATGAAAGAGTTTAGTGAATAATGGTCATGATAATTGCACAATAGTATAACTATACTTAATACCACTGAACTGTATACTTAAATATGGTTAAGACAGTAAATTTTATGTTATGTGTATTTTACTACAATAAAAATTGTAAAAAGATACCACAAGGTTATTAAAAGCAACTTTCTGCCAATAAATTTGAAAACTTAGATGATACAGAAAATTTTCTTGAAAAATACAAGTTTACAAAATTGCCACAAAATAAAGTAACAAATAATATAGTTCACCATCTAATCAAGAAATTATATTCATTTACAAAATTCTTCAAATCAAGAAAACTCTAGGTTTTGGTTGTTTCACTGGCAAATTCAATTACACATTCAAAGAAGAGATAATGCAAAATTTATGTAAACTCTATCAGAAAATAGATGGCAAGGGAACACTTTCCATCTGCTTGATAAATCAGCATCATCTAATACCAAATTCAGAAAAAAATCTAAAACTTTTAAAAATGCTGTCCCTGAACATAGACGAAAAATTTGCAAAATATTAATAAATGAAACCAAGCAGTATTTTCTAATGATAAGGCATCATAACCAATTACGGCATCTTTTATTAGTACAAGGTTGGCTTAACATCTGAATCTCAATCAATATAATCCTCCCTGTCAATGTCAAAAAAAGTCAAATTTTAAGATAAATTTTATTAATGAAGAGAAAAGAATTTAACAAAATTCATCACCTATTCATAATTTTTTTAAAAAACCTCTCAGCGAAGTAAATCTAAAAACTCATCCCTTACTTTGATAGGGGCATCCATGAAAAGCCTACAGTTGACAAGATATTTAAGAGTAAAATATTAAACGCTATCTTAAAAAAAAAAGGCCGAATCCCTGAATTCACCACTTTTTAAAAATCTTTTACTGAAGAACCAAACCAAAACAATAAGGCAAACAAAAAATAAGTCACTCAGATTAGAAAGAATTAACACTGTCTACATTTTCAAATGACATGATTATTGAATATGAAATCCTAAGAAATCAACAAAAGTATAAAAACTACTAAAGAAATTTAGTAAAGTTGAAAGATCCAAGTCTAATATACAAAAATAATGTATTTCTATACATTAATAGCAAATATTTGAAAAAACTGAATCTTACTGTCAGGCCTCTGAGCCCAAGCTAAGCCATTATATTCCTTTTGACCTGCATGTGTACATCCAGGTGGCCTGAAGCAACTGAAAATTCACAAAAGAAGTGAAAATAGCCTTAACTGATGACATTCCACCATTGTGATTTGTTTCTGCCCCACCCTAACTGATCAATGTACTTTGTAATCTCCCCCACCCTTAAGAAGGTTCTTTGTAATTCTCCCCACCCTTGAGAATGTACTGTGTGAGATCCATCCCCTGCCCACAAAACATTGCTCCTAACTCCACAGCCGATTCCCAAAACCAATAAGAACTAATGATAATCCCATCTCCCTTCGCTGACTCCCTTTTCAGACTCAGCCTGCCTGCAGTGCACCCAGGTGAAATAAACAGCCTTGTTGCTCACACAAAGCCTGTTTGGTGGTCTCTTCACACGGACACGTGAGACACTTACAACATTACATTTGTATTTACCTTTGCAATAGGGCTAACAAGCATACAATTCTTAGGAATAAACATAGCAAAATATGTTCTAAACAATGTCACTAAGCATTTAAGGACATTGATGGGAGAACTTAAACATCAAAATAAATAAATACACCATTTTAGTGGATTGAAATATTGTGTGTAGTTAAGATGTCAAGTTTTATTAACTTGGTCTAGAGAAGCTATGCATTCCTAACTAAAATATCAAAAGATTTTCTACATAAATGGACAAGTAATTTTAAAATTTGTATATAAATGCAAGTGATCTGGAATGACTGAATTAGTTTTAAAAGAGAAGAACAAAGTTGAAGGAATTACAATTATAGGTTTGCAGACTAAATATACAACTACAGTAGTAAAAACACTGCCATTACAGTGTAAAAACAGACATAAAAATCATCAGGATGGAAATCATTTTTAATAAATGAAAAATGATGTGTGTGCCTATGTGTCTGTGTGTACAAATTGTTATGTTTGATTTTGGATAGGATGTTAAGTTAGTATAGACAAAGTTTTGCAATAACGGGCATTAGGACACTGGATGTCCATATTGAAAATGTACATCAATCCTTATTTTATCCAAAGATAAATATCAAATCAAAAGCATTATATGTTTACATGTAATATCTAAAATTTTTAATTATAAAATAAAACAAATTTTTTTTTGCAATTCAAAGCAGATATTTTCTTAATAGGACATAAAAAGTACAAACAATTAAAAATTTAATACGTTTTACTTCATTAACATTGAAAATTTATTTAAAGTTGCTACTAAGAAAATAAAAATGCAAATCTCAAACTTATGTCTAAGGGTATATAAAGAACACTCAGATTCAATAATAAGAAAAAAGCAACCCAGTAAAAAATGGGATAAATATTTGAACAGTTGCTAATGTACAGAATAATAAAGATATTCCAATATGAACATGATGATCACTAAATTTAGTAGTTTTATGTACACTTTTTTTTCCAAATACACAAGCACATACATAAAAACACATACGCAAACCTTTAAGCATTAGTGTTTACTGACCATGTAAGTGTAGCCTACACATTACACACTTACTAAAATTACTAAAATTAAAAAGACTGGCATAACAAGTGTTGGTGAGGATATAAAGTAAAGAGAACTGCTATTTCATATCACATTTCAATCTACCCCACACTATTGATAGGAATTAAAAATGGTATGACTGTTTTGGAAAACTGTTTGGTAGTTTAAAAAAAAAATTAGACATATACCTTTTTTACACCCAGACATTCCACTCTATGTATTTACCTAAGAGAAATAAAAATATGTCTTCTTGTTCAGGAATATTTATAAAATTTATTATTAATAACCCTCAAATTAAAAAGAATACAAATGTTCGTAAACAGGTAGAAGGATAATCAAAATGTGGTACCTCTACAAAATGGAATATTACTCAACAATACAAAAATAACATTATTTATATGTGCGAAGTTATGCAGTTCGGATGAATCTTTTTATTTTTTATCTTTATTTTTATTTTTTTTTTTTTGAGATGGAGTCTTACTCTGTTGCCCAGGCTGGAATGCTGTGGCGGGATCTTGGCTCACTGCAAGCTCTTCACACCATTCTCCTGCCTCAGCCTCCTGAGTAGCTGGACTACAGGGACCCGCCACCACGCCTGGCTAATTTTTTTGTATTTTTAGTAAAGACATGCTTTCACCGTGTTAGCCAGGATGGTCTCAATCTCCTGATCTCGTGATCCACCTGCCTTGGCCTCCCAAAGTTCTGGGATTACAGGCGTGAGCCACCACACCCGGCCAGTGTGGATGAATCTTAATAGCACTGCGTGAAAGAACCCAGGCACAAAAGAGTGTGTCTTGTATAGTTTTATTTTTATAAAATTCTAGAAAGCATTACATATTCTACAGTGATATAAAGCAAATCAACAGTTGTCTGCATCACAAGCAGAGGAAGGGATTGCTATAATGGGACTTAATAAATGTTTTGAGAGTGATGGAAATGTTCTGTGTCTTGACTGAGAAGGTGGTTTTAAAACTGTCAAAAGTCATCAAATGGTTCACTTTTGTTGTTACAATCTATTGTATGTAAAGTATATCAAGTAAAGCTGATTAAATTCAAAATATGCATACTGTAAAACCTAAAAGGTTGATAAAATATAGCATGAAGAATGTAAGGGAAGATGCTTAGAAGTCCCCAAAACAATTTAATGTCTTACTGAATTAAACTGAGTGTTATATATGCATTCAATTGGTAAAATAATTTAACATGCCCTTGTTTACCTACTTACTACAAAGGTTTCATGACGGAACTCTGATATAGTAAGCCAAAGACCAACAAAATGCTCTACCTTACGTTAATAGAAAGATTTTTTAATCACAGGAAGTCAAACAATATAATACAATAAATAAAATTTGTGATTTATTTCTTATTAACAGGAGGAATTGGCTGAGGATATAAAGGGTAGAAATTGTTGTGCAAGTGACCATAATTTCCTCAGAAGTGAATCTGAAAGCATGAAATCTCCCCCAGAAAGGGATAAAAGCAAAAAATATAAATAAATAAAGATTCAACTCTAAAATAAACCACTAAAACAGTTTCTGTTGTAAGTATGCAGCCAATATATTTTTACAGAGTGTATGTAAATTATTTATACAGAATAGAAATCTCTGGAACAATAAAATGCTACATTTGAGAACTTTAAAAATCCTTTCAACACGTAAACCCATATTCCAGTAAAAAAAAAAATCACTCATTATTTTATTTTTCCAAAAAACATATTTTTTTTCTGCCTTTCTTCCTATCTTCTTTCTCTTACTGTGGATCATTTATGGTGATGGTTGGAAAGGCCTACACTATGAACACGCTCAATATTAGTAACAAAATTCTATTGTCTTTTTGCTCTGGAGATTGGTGATCTAAACTCCTGTTACTTTCTAAGCCATTCAATTGTCAAAGAAATAATCCTTTGTTCCACTCTGATATAGATCACCTGTGTCTCATGGCAAATCATTTAAAATATTTTAAAAAGAATCTTCATAAGAAACAGAGAAAGTGATAGGTATCTCCAACACAAAAATATATAATTTAGCAAGAAATTAATTTCTGATGTTTTTACCTCAATACTTTTAAAATACAGTATATAGAATTAAGCATAGACTTTTGTTAAAATATAATATGTATATTTGACATATATACAATGTTTAAACTTTACATTTTATTTATAGTTATATAAGACATATATTATGTATTGTTATAAATACTGTTTATAAATAGCATGCATTATATTATATCACACATCATATCATTAAAATTTTAAAAAACTGATATTATTTTCTAATTTAAGTAATTTACCTTTTAACTTTATATATAGATAGGAATGTCTATCAGTGATTGTCTGATAGACATTACTTACACAAAAGTTTAGGTAAATAATATAGATTATGCTAGAGCAAATAGCACTTTTTACCATTAAAAAAGTCTAATTTGATATAAACCATAAATGGTGTTTCTAATTTGGAAGATGGAGAAAATTGAGACCACCTGAATACAAGAGGATCTCTTTTGTCATAGCATATGTCTATTATAGTTCTTCTAAGCCAGGAAGAAATAATACCCGCCAGTAAAGAAAAAAAGAATGGAAATCAAATGGAGAAACTCTTTATTAGCTATGAGACCATAGCAAGCAATTTTACTTGCCTGTACCTTAGTTTCTTCATCTGTAGGACAGAAATAATAATATGTACTCCATGGGGTTTCCGCAAGGATTCAGGAACATTATGTACAAAAGTATTTAGCAGAGTGACTATTATAAAGCAAATGCTCGTTAATCAATGATTTTTAGTCTTCAAATCAATCACTCACTCTATAAATGGTGAATTGGTTCTAATCCAGGCTTCTATAAAAAATGTGAAATAGTGTCAAAAAGAAGACTTCAGAGCAAGTATTCTTACTAATAAATTAAGAACAACTAAAAAGCATTATATAACCTACTCAAGACAAGACAATTTTTAAAGAAAATATGTAATTATGCTCAAAATAACCCTTTTATTTTGTCTGTAAATAATTTTTCAAATTAAAAAAATAACTTTATTTGGATAATTAGAGACAAAATAAACTTCAGCATATATCATACTTCCTAATCTAGCTTCATGTTTAGAATGTCTTTCAGATGATGGCGGTGGCTCTTCTGGAGCAGCTGCTGTGAGTATGCCAGCTACAGTGGGGAATCACAGTTGGGCTGTGGAGCCGATGGGGGCCGGGAACAGATGGGAGCCCACCCCTTACCCAGTTGGTGGGGTGGGAGCCCAATGTTCCTGGGCACAGCTGCAGCCCAGCCATGGCTCTGGACATCCCTGCGCTCTCAAGGGCCCAGGAAGCCCCTTGCCCCCTCAGGCTTGGAAGTGCCTACTCCCACTCCCTGGCCACTTCCTGCTCCCAGCACCTGCTCTGGTGTGGAGCAAAGCTGTGGAAAAGCCTGGGTACTGTTACAACTCAGCTGGGTGTGCACATGCATGGGGCATCGCTGACACCTCAGCTCTCCCACCATCTCAGACCCCTGTGGAACTTTGGGTGCTTACAAGCTCAGTGACGGATCTCAAGGGGGCTGAGGATGACTTGGTGATGGCCTGCAGTCACCCCTCAGTGTGGACAGCCTGGGAGCAGCAGATGGCATGTTGATGTCGACAGGGGGCAAGTTTGTAGCCAGGAAGGGGCAGGTATCCAGTGAAATCCCACCTTCAAGCCGGGGATAGCCCGATGCCTGTGATCGGGCTGCCAGTTCTGGGTGGAGACAACAACCCAGAGTGAGAACTTATGGTTTTTTTCCTGGCCCACTGGTGGCCACCCATGAACTAGCCAGACACACTTCCTCCCATCTGAGCACATAAAAACCCCAGACTCAGCCAGATTCACATACTTTTTGGAACAACCTGCCTGCAGATAGGAGCTACTCACTTTGGGTCTCCTCAAGACTTGTCAGGATGACTTGCCTGCAGAAATAAGCTACCCACTTTGGGTCTCCTGAGAGCTGTTCTGTTGCTTAATAAAGTTCCTCTCTGCCTAGCTCACCCTCTTCTTTTCCACATATCCTCATTTTTCTTGGACATGGGACAACAACTTGGGACCCATCAAACAGCAGGAACTAAAGGAGCTATAACATGTTCCTAGCTGCCTCACTGAGCTGGGGGTGGTTACATGCTCCCGGACTGTGGAAATAAAGAGTGACAACCCTTCTGGGCGTCCAGACCTCAGGATTCCCCAAGCCACAGTTGCTGTAACACTATAGCCCTCCCACCCTCCACCAGCACAGGCAGCTATCCCATGCAATGGGAAGCAGCAGCGGGGCCAGGCCAGCCTATGAGCTGTGGGCCAGAATGAGGCAGCATGACTGAAAGAGCTGTAACACAAAGGAGCTAAAACATTCCCTCCAAAATTCACCTCCTTGTTCACTGCTCTGTGCATGACAAGAAGGAGAGAAGAACTGTGGCCTTATTGGGAGCCTAGATCTGAGGGCTCCCTGAGGTAGGGCTAGGATATGCTGTAACATCCTCTTTGGGGCTCTGCAGTTCCTGGGATCTCCAAGCTTTTGGGTGCCATTACATTCGCCTCATCCAGACACTGGTGCCAGTTGTGGAAGCCAGTTGTGGTGTATCTGGTCTAGCCACAGACTTGTACAGAGCTGGTGCCTGTGTCAGTGCCTGGACCTGCCTGCCCCGCTGTGTGCTTGCTCACTCACACACCCCTCACCACTTCATGCCTGGCTTGCACTTGGCAGGAGTGGAATAGAGCTGGTAGCATGAGCCAATTGCAGCCTACTGAGCCAAGCAGGTGGAACGAGCCCAGCAGGTGCAAGCAACTCAAGCAGAGGTGCTGCTGGCCACGGGGTTTCTAGCTGGTGAAGCAACATCCTAAGGATTCTGGTACATTTCTATGAACTTCATTAAAGTAGTACTACAGTTTGATGGGACTGCAGTTTTAAAACAAATTATGGTCCTGGTGAAGACTAAATCTGGTTTGTTATCAATGTGGCAAAAGGCCTAATTACTTAAATGCTCTATGAATTGATGAGTAAAACTAAAAATTTTGCAGTTAAAGAAAGCACAGAATTAAGAAGTAGGAAGAGATAGAAAAAAATTGTAAATCATATTATAAAAATTTTCTAGCCTGGTATACAAGAAAAGCAATGGGATGACAGACTTATGAAAATCTCCTAAACATGGCCTGAGAATCAGAAAAACCACATAATGAAGTTTTCTTTCACAAAAGCTGAAATGATTAATAGAATGCGATTATTATCTGCTCTTATTAAACAAGATATCCCAAAATCAATAAAAGGCCATTATCAGAGAAAGATAGATACCGACCTCAAAGGCAAAAACCTTAATTGTCTGCAAATCACCTGGTAAAGCCCTCTTTGATAAGAAACCATACTTACTCCTTATTGTGCATCTAGAAAATATTAAGAGACCAAAATAAGTAAAATTAAAGGATCATAATGGGGTCTTCATTTGATATTTAACAAAAACAAAAACAGTAGTTTACTTTCTCCACCATCACAACATTTGCTAAGTTATCACCAAAGGAGATTACTACCAGTTTGCAGGAAGTTTCACTTCCTCACCCACCGCAATATTTGCAAAACTATCACCAAAGGACATTACCACCAGTTTGCAGAGGACAGAGAATACCTGGACTGATGAAGGGGTGAGAAAATAAAAGTGATATTTGACTAGCTGTTAGCATTATAATTAAAATGAAGATAATTAATCCAAACTGCCTATGTCTCATTAGAACCTTTAATTACCATTTTATTACCATTGAAATGATCAAAATAAGTATCTCATGCAGAGGGAAGGCATTCCCAAATTTGATACATCTAGTGTTTCTTATGTCAAAAAGAGGAAGACTAACAACATCTTTTGAAATGAAAAAGGATAAAAATAGACCACCCACAAAAGAAACACAAACACAGACAAGAAACATGAAAAGAGGTTCAGTCTTAAGCTAGTCAAGGAAATACAAATTAGCATATAAATAGCATCCAATATTTGCCAGTCAATTTAGAAAAAACATTGTATTTTTAATAACATCAAAGATTTGTAAGGACATGAGAAAATGGAGAGTCTCTTACAATGTTGGTAAAATATAATTTGTTGAAGGCTTTTGGGAAAATATTTTAGTAGTATGTATCAAAATTTTAAATAAAATATACAAAAATTTTAACCCAGCTATTCCATTTTTAAATCTACTATCTGTAGATTTTCATCTCAGATAGGCAATAAATGTGGTTTTGCTAAGTAATGTAACAATAAATTGCCCAACTCAACAACTATGTACTTACAGCAAACGATAAGGAATGTGCTGCACTCATTTTGCAAAAATTATTTGCAACTAGTTTACATGCAGAGACAGAACCAGAACAGTTCAGACTTAGGGTGAGAATTGGAAAACATTTCTAAAATATAGTAAAGGGAAGTTTCTCATCCCTAAATTTTTTTTAAATCTGTATTCCTTACAGTTAATATTATCAGCAGTTTTATATCCCTGTGGATAATTTCTGGAAAATCCTTTCATGCTTTCTTTTGCCAGAAATAAGAATAAGAGCATGATGTATTTGTGTTATCACCTATGAAAACTCACTTACCCTTTGCAATAAACTAAACATCTTTGAACTGTATTAAGAAACTTTCTTTAGATTATAACATGGGATACTGCATTGCACAATTTTATGGGCATTATTTATGCTGTAATTGTGCTCTGTAGGTGTCAATCACATAGGATACATATGAACAGCACAATATCCTGAGTTTATGTCTGGAGTAAGACTACTCAATTGATAAATCCTAATGGCTAAATTGGTTAAGAGGAGGAATGAGAGAAAGGAGATAATATTGAAATGATAGGGAAAACCAGACTTTCTGAATTAAACCATATAATATTTGTGGTTAATATTAGCGAAGTATACATTTAGTGCTGGGTGTCTACTCATCCTCAGTTTCAGATAATTTAGCACATGAGACTGAAATACATTATAATCTGAAGGATCTGTATTTATTAATACAGTTACTTCTGTAATCACCCAATGGGTTCACCCATCTGCTGCAGTCATTGAGACTGCAATATTGTAGTAGAGAAAGAGTTTCATTAATGCAGAGCTATCCAAGAAGACTCACTTTAAATCTAAAGACACATACAGAATAAAAGTAACGGAGAAAGATATAATATGTTAATAGTAATCAAAAGAAAGCAAAATTAGCTATATTAATTTCAGACAGAGTGGACTTCAAAGCAAGGGGAGCTATTGAGGATAAAGAAGGATGTTACATAATGATAAATGGAGCAGTTATTCAAGAAAATGTAACGCTAGTTAACATGTATACACTTAACAACAGAGCATCAAAATATATGCAGCAAAAACTGGTCAACCTTCAATAAGAAATAGATAAATCCACTATTATAGTCAGATATTTTAACACTCTTGTACCACACATATATAGCTCCATCAGGCAGAAAATCAGTAAGGACATAGAAAAACTCAACAGTACACCTGAATATAATTGACATCTATAAACAAACTCATCCAACAACAACAGAAAACACATTTTTCTCAAGCTCCCATGAAAATTTCATGAAAATAAACTATATTTCAGCCATAAAACACACTGTAACAAATTTAAAATAATAAAAACATGCAATGTCTGCTCTTAGACCACAGTGGAATTAAACTGGAAATCAATAACAGAAAGATAACTGAAAAATCCCCAAATTCATGGTGATTAAACAAGAGCCGAAGGAAAAAAAACTCAAGAGAAATTCAAAAATATTTTAAACAAAATGAAAATAGAAACACAACTTTTCAAGACTTGTGGGATGCAAATCGTGAAAGCAGTGTTTATGGGGAAACATATAGCATTGAATGCATATGTTAGAAAATAAGGAAGATTTAAAATCAATTATCTAAGCTTCTACCTTAGGAAAAATTTTAAAAGCAGAAAAAATTAAACTTAAATTAAGCAGAAAAATGCAATAAAAATTAGAGCAAAAATTAATAAAATTGAAAATAAGACATCCTTAGAGAAAATCCACAATACCAAAAGCTTGTTCTTTGAAAAGATCAATAGAATTAATAAGTCTGTAGCTAGGTAAACTAAGAGAGATAGAGGACACAAATTACGAATATCAGATATGAAAGAAAGGACATTGCTATAGATTCCATAGACAAAAAAATAATAAAATAATACAGCAAACAACACTATGTCCCCAAATTTTACAATATACATGAAAGAAACCAATTCATTGAGAGACACAATCTGCCCAAATTTACATAAGAACCCATAAACTGTGTGAACAGCCTATGTCTGTTAAAGAAATTGAATCAATGATAAATAAACTTCCAAAACAGAAAATACTAGACTCAGTAGATACATTGGTGAATTCCACCGAATGTTTAAGCAAGAAAACATACCAATTTTCTATAATCTCTTTCAGAAGATAGAAGCAGAGGAAACATTGACTGTTCTATGGGGCCACATCACTCTAGTACCAAAATGTGACAAAGACTTACAAGAAAAGAAAACTACAGGCCAATATCTTTCTTGAACACAAATGCAAAAATCCTTAACAAAATATTAGCAAATCAAATCGCAAAACATATTTTAAAAAATTCTATATCACAAGCAAGTGGGGTTTACCTAATGAATGCAAAGCTGATTCAACATTCAAAAATCAATTAATGCAATCAATTATATCAGCAGGCTAAAAAGGAAAAATCACATGATCATATTAATAGATGTAGAAGAAGCATTTGACAAAAATCCAACACCCATTCATGAATAAAAACTCTCAGTACACTAGGAAAAGAGGGGAGCTTATTCAACTTAACAAATAATATATAGAAAGCACCAATATCTATCAAATTTAGTAGTGAGAAACTGGAAGCTTTCCACTAACATCAGGAAGAAGGCAAGGATGTAACCCCTCACCACTGTTTTTCAACATCACACTGGACATCTTAGCTAATTCAACAAGACAAGTATAAGGAGTAACGGTATACTGATCAAGAAAGAATAATTAAAAGTTTTCGTACACAAATGACATGATTGTCTTTTTAGGAAAACTAAAAGAATCAACAAAAAATTATTGGAGCTAATAAGCAGTTATAGAAAGGTTGTAGGATGCAAGGTTGATATATGAAAGTTGATTGTTTTTCAATACCAACAATGAATAAGTGTAATTTGAAATTAAAATCACAATACCATTTATATTCACAATCCCAAAAATAAAATAGTTATAAATCTAACAAGATTTAATGAAGAAAATTATAAAACACTGATGAAAGACATTACAGAACTAAATAAAAGAAGAGCTATTCCTTGTTCATGGATAAGAAAATGAAATATTGTCCAGATGTATTTCCCAACTCAATCTCTAGATTCAATGCAATCTCAATCAAAATCCCAGCAAGTTATTTACTGGATATTGATAAACTGATTCTAAAGTTTATATAGAGAGACAGTATAGTCACCACAATCTTAAAAGAGAACAAAGTTAGAGGACTGACATTACTCGACTTCAATACTTAATATGAAATGATAGTAATCAAGATGGTGTGGTATTGGTGAAAAAAATAAACACATAGAACAATGGAAACGAACAAAGAGCCCAAAACTGGACCAAAATAATCATAGACAACTGATCTTTGACAAAGAAGCAAAGGTAATACCATGGAGGAAAGATTATCTTTTAAACAAATGGTTCTGAGACAAGTGGACATCCAATGCCAAAAAATAACTTGACTCAGACCTTATATGCTCTGCAGAAATTAACTCAAAATGGCTCCCAGAGCTAAATGCAAAATACAAAACAATGAAACTCCTAGAAAATAACATAGGAGAAACTCCAGATGATCTTGGGTTTGGCTATTACTTTTTACACACAACATTGTTTAGATAGCATAGCAATCCATGAAAATAAGAACAGATAGACTAGACTTCATTAAAATTTCTGCTTTGTGAAAGACACAAGAGAATAAAAAGACAATCCACATACTGGAAGAAAATATTTGCAAAAGACATATCTGACAAAAGACTGTTATCCAAAATGCACAAAGAACTCCTAAAACAGTAAGAAAACATACAACCTATTAGAAAGTGCATCAAAATTTTAACAGAAATATAATCAAAGAAGATATACTAATGGCAAATAGACATACATAAAGATGCTCCACGTTATTTGTCATCATGAAAATGCAAGTTAAAATGACAAAGAGATAACATTACACTGCTATTAGAATGCTCAAAATCCAAACCAAAACCATCAAATGCTGGAGAGAATGTGGAGTGATAGCGACTCTCATTCATATCTGCTGGGAATGCAAAATTGAACAGCTACTTCAAAATATAGCTGGGCCATTTCTTATAAAACTAAACGTACTCTTAACATATAATGCAGCAATCATCGTCTTTGATATTTACCCAAAGGAGTTGAAAACATGTCCACACAAAGCCTGCATATGGATATTTATAGCCGCTTTCATCATAATAGCCAAAACACGGAAGCCACCAAGATGTTCTTCAGTAGGTAAATGGATAAATAAACTCTAGTACATCCTGTCAATGGAATATTATTCAATGCTAAAAAAAATGAACTATCATGCTGTGAAAAAATAACAAAGAAACTTAAGTACACATTACTAAATGAAAAAAAGTCAGTCTGAAAAGATTATATACTGCATGATTTCTACTATGACATTCTGAAAAGGGAAAAATGTGGAGATAGGAAAAGGATTAGTGAATATCAAGGGACAGGAACGAGAGAGAGGAATGTATAGTTAGAATACAAAAAGTTCTTAGCGCAGTGAAAATATTCTTTATGATTCTATAATGGTATATACATATCTTTATACATTTTTCCAAGCCCATATAATGCAGAACACCAGAGGGAACTCTAATGTGGACTATAGTCTCCAGGTGATTATGATGTACCAGTGTAAGCTCGTCAGTTGTAACAAAGATACCACTTCGATGGAGGATGTTGAATATGGGAGAAGTTACACATCCTTTGGGGGAGGAAACACATGAGAAATCTCTGTACTTTCCTGTCTATTTTACTTTGAACCTAAATTTACTCTTAAAAAATCTTCAACAAAATAAATAGAATAAATCCTCTCCGATACAACAATGTGTGGGCCAAACAAAATATGACTGTAATTCAGAGGTATTTGTAAATTACCAGTTTAAAATCTCTGATTTAGAAGAGATAACAGGTTCTGAGAGAGAAAGCAGCACTTGCTTCGATTACTGGCTTTGCCATAAAATAGGTACGTTTGGGCAACTGTACCTCAGTTTCATCATGTGGTCAAGGGAAACATCTGCTCTATGTATGCCTTGAGCTATTCTGTTTTATTTTTCTTTTATTAAACAAATAATAATTCTGACCAGGGAGAATGGAGACAAGATAGTAATCTTATGGAGTGCATTCACCAGAGAACAGCTGAGCTTTTCGTCAGTGCAAGCACATTATGATCCATGGATACCTACAGCAATGTCATCAATACTAAAAAGTGCTTTTATGCATAAGAAACACATTGTATTGTTTGTCTGATCATCTGATTTTCAGGGAGTTGTAGTTAATGAAAAAATAACCATATTATACAATGTTTTTTTCTGCTTCCAAAGCCATGTGATTGGTCCAGAGAGAGCACAAGATTATGCTGAGCCAATGAGTCCCTTCACCAGGATTCTGAAATTAAGAAAAAGAGAACGTTTATCTTGCATTAAAGCTCAGGAGCTGTGAGAAAGGCCAAAGAATCACTAAGCAAGAAAAGAGAAATGAATGAGAGGAAAACAACAAAGTATAAAGGTAAGTGCTGGAGGATGTAGGATCTTTGACTTTTTCCTTTTGTAACCCAATGTCCATTCAAATAATTGGCCCTAAGTAGATAGGTAACATATATATTTTAAGTAAATTATGAATGAATGATATAAATTACCATGCATAAGTTATATCATAAAAATTATAATGCATGTGGCTCGCGCCTGTAATCCCAGCACTTTGGGAAGCCGAGGTGGGCGGATCACCTGAGTTTGGGAGTTTGAGACCACCCTGACCAATATGGAGAAACCCCGTCTCTACTAAAAATACAAAATTAGCCAGGTGTGGTGGCACATGCCTGTAATCCCAGCTACTGGGGAGGCTGAGGCAGGAGAATTGCTTGAATCCAGGAGGCGGAGGTTGTAGTGAGCTGGAGATCACGCCATTGCACTCCAGCCTGGGCAACAAGAGCAAAACTCCGTCTCAAAAAATATGTATATAATCTGTAATTTTTATTTTGCCTCATCATAATCAAAGATTTCCTTCCTTTTTATCCTGTTTTAGAACCTTATTTTCTATACAGAACAAATTCCACATGTTTTAGGTGCGGCACATTCCCCTTCCACCGCTAGTCATTGACAAAAGCACATGATCCAGGCCAGGTTAATGAGAAGATTTGGTTTACCTATAAAAAGAATTTTTCTCAGTAAGAGTTCCAGGTTCAGGATGGTTTGGACCAAGCAGAATCAGGTTATTCACTAAGAAACACATTGTTTTGTTTGTCTGATCATCTGATTTTCAAGGAGTTGTAGTTAATGAAAAAGTAACCATTTTATATAATGTTTTTTTCTGCTTCCAAAGCCATGTGATTGGTTCAGAGAGAGCACAAGATTATGCTGAGCCAATGAGTCCCTCCACCAGGATTCTGAAATTAAGGTTTGCTCCATTAATAGCAATAAGTGTGTTAGCTTAGCGCTAGCTGAGGTATTTGTTACTTGTATGTAGAACCAGTCTGGGAACTAAGTGAATACAGTGTAAGTTGGACAAAATGATAGGTGAACAAACCTTTAAATTTATATCCCTGAATTCAGCTATTTCTAAAACTAGATCTGCTATCTGGCATGAATCAATAAGTTCTTCCTCTGCTTAAATTGAATTGGGTTTCTGTCATTTACGTAAGTGAGACCTTATAATGCAAAAATTATTTTAAGAAATGTAGAAAATTAACATATTTTGTTTATTATTCAATAATTACTTTTCTTTGATTCTGTAACTTTCCCAAGGCAAAATTTCCAAAGTACTTAAAGCTGAAATGTGTTATAAAATTTTTTATCCATTACATTGAGAAGTACTGGTTCAAAATATTTGAAACCTCAGCTCTGTTTCTTCACTCCAAGCAACATGCCACTGGAGTTAGCCACTCCAAACAATATGCTTTCTAAGTAAAATAAATGGCAAAACAAAATTTCACAACAAGTCCTCAGCTCACCCTTTCCACCAGATTACCATACTCAAAGCTCCCATTTTAGAGATTCTAGAACCATTAAAGTATATTTGTTTACCAAACTACTCCAATGAAGATTTATCCATTCAACCTATCAGTTAACAGCGTTTGTTCAGTATCTATTATTGTGTGCCATGCATCATGTGGGACTCTCAGGATATAAAGGACAGTAAAATAAACTCCCAAATCTATGGGAATCAAATTAAAATAAGAAAAACAGACAAATAAAAAAATTGCAATGCACTGTGATAGAAGTTATAATGTATGTATACAGGGGGTGTTTCATAGGAAAGTGTTTTGCCATCCTGCAGCAGGGTGTGTGTGTGTCTGTGTATTTGTGTGTGTGAGTTTCAATAATGAGCCAGTCTTCCCACATATAAGATATTGCATAGTTTTATATAAAGCATTTCTGGAACTTTTATTTATTTTTGATGACTAAATAATTGAATATTCCCCCAAAGACCTAGAAGACAAAACATAACCAGGGAACACATGTTCCCATACCTGTTTAGTCACGAGGTTTCTTTTATTGTCTATTTAAGTTCAAGTTAATAGACTGAGAATCATTAAGCTTTTTAGAATTATTAAATGTAGTGGAACAAAAATTTATGATGTATATATTATGTGATTACTTATCTAAAAATAAAAATATATACTTTTATTACCAAATACTACTTATTTTTAGAAACAGAATTTTCCTACAGTCATCATTTTAAGAAAAGCACATTGTTTCAAGTACTCTTTTTATCTTAATATTAACACAATATGGGATAAATTCTAGGAGAATTAATAGCCTTTAGTATGTGATCAAAAAAGAGGACTGGTGGAGTAATTGGTCTCTGTTCATGATTAGAAAGTCTGTGGCTTTGCAGATGTAGAGACGTGGTCCAGAGTTCTGATCATTAAAATCAGAGGGGCATGCCCATCTAAGATTAGGGCCATATATGATCTATGTGGCCCAGGTGGATTCTGCTTATCCTGAGCAAAGTGGAAGGAGTCCTTGAATGAAGCAAGAATGCCAACTAACATTAGTGAGCCTGGACTAAAGCCAAGGAAAAGAAAAATATTGTCTCTCCAAGATGCAGTGGCAAAGAAATTTACACCCTAGAACATGCCACCTATTTAATTTCTTTATCTGGCAACTTTACTTTGGCAAATTATGATGTTGGAATATGTCCTGCCTTTTAATAGAGTATGCATGTGCAGAATCTTTAAAACCTGTGCATACAGTGTCTGGGGTGCATTCTCACTGCACCTGGCAGAAAGCTCCATCTGTTTCATGTTGCCTCAGGCACTGTCCAGTTCCCTCTAAGCTCCCCATGCATCAGTCTCTTCTTGCTTGCCTTACAGCATTTCACTCTCTCACACACATCTGGTTTTGATGATTCCTCCATATTGTCTTCATCTGATCATGTAGCTTCTCTACCTGCTAAACCCCTTTCAATTTAAAAGAGTCTCATTAGAGAATCTAAGACAATATTCTAAATGTGTTTAGCAATAAGGAATAGAAATGAGTATGCATATTAGCATTAAGAAGTGATGCATTAGAATTCTTTTATTGCAAGCATCACTAGTGCATAGAGCCCAAAAAGCTATAAGTCAAAACATAAATTGCACATACAACAAAATCCTAATATAAAATAGCATGAAAACAGATATTAGCCTATCTCGCAGAAGCCACGTTAAGAGACTGAACAGTCTATGATGACAATGATAGACTTATAAACATGAGCACTTGTCACCATCCACAGATACAAAATGCATAGTTCCTTTTTTGGCTTTACCATTGACAGTTCTTATATAAGTTAATTAACCTCTGTGACACATGACTTGCTACCTTTCTGTTTCACAGTAAGACTTTAAAGATTGGGATGAACATAAGTTATTAAAGCATTGTTTATTAATGAGCTAACATCCAAAAATGGAAGATAGAATATAAAATAATGAATTCCTAAGTGTGATAATCAAATATATTCCATTGTTGATAACTTTACAAAGTAGTTGTTGATGGCAGAATTTTTTAAGTTTCTGGTTACTTGTTTCTTGTTATTTGTTAAAGCAATTCCTGACAAATATCTGTATTCCTTTATTAACAGATCACATTGGATACTAAAAATATTCTGTTGAATTTGAATCACTATAGCAAGAAAATAAGTTTTTACCTAAAAAGAACTAGCATTGATTTACACTTACAGTTAAGCATGTCTATTGATATAAATTTGCTTGGCAGAAAACATATGTTGTGTTTAATCCCTATCTTACATTTGGACATTTGAGTAGCTCTACCTTGAACCTTATTTGGGTTAAGTTTTATTCTTAAAAGTCGCAAACAGCTTCTTTCAACATGTATATTCAAGGTTACTAGGTAAAAAAATAAAAAATCCATAAAATATTTTCTTCTACAATACAATAGAAAGTGGGGGAAACGTGTTTATTTCTAAATATAAAACTTTAATTAAAAGTGGCCATAAAGGCTTTATTTAGAAAAATGTGCAGAAAATTATTCAATGTTGCCACCTTCAGGACAAATTTTAAAATAGCAAGATAGCAGTGAAAAGCATAAGACTTAAGATTTTTTTTTTTCCATGATTAAGTATTTGCTCTACAATATTGATGCAAAGTTAACTACTTAGGCTTTTTAAGACAGCTAAACATCTGACTTTTAAAAATTGTTCTTATACTCAAATATGTGCCCGAAAAACTTCAACTTAAGTATACTTATCTATTAGTTCCCTGCTGATAGATATTTATTTAAGAAACGTTGGTTGAGTATTACTATGTATCAGGCACTGTGCTAGGTGCTGGAAGCACAAAAATGACTTCAACATTTGAAAATTCTCAAGAAGTCTACATTCCAAGAAAGGGAATCAACACATAAATAGAATATTCCACCAGCGCAGTAAGTGTTCTCATAGATATAAATAGACGATTGTGGGAGAACATGAGCTACACACCTTAGCCAGGAGAGTAAACAGAGGGACAGCAGGAAGAGTCATGCTGCAGGTGACAACCAAACTTAGTCTGTTATTATAATAATTTTGAGAAATAATTTAGAGTAAAATTATCTCAATTGTTTTCCATTTGCTTATTTCTATTAACCTAAAGAAAGGGGAGGGAGAAAGAAGGGTGCTAAAAGTAGAACAATTATCATGGAGATAAAATTCAGTGAGGTAAATTATTTCATAATACCTGATGTAGATATTTTCTTACTTTTTTTGTTTCCCTTTGCTGTCCTTCAACAAATTTCCAGCAGAGTCTTCTTCATAGAGCAATCCTGGGGAAAAAATATATTGTCATTTTCCCAGTTCATATTCTAACTACAGACAATACAGCAGAATTGTAGGTGCTGAGTTATTGGATTGGCAGATGCTATCTTTCTCAAAGCTCCACAAACAACATTTTTTTTTCCTAAGATACAGTATGATGTTAGCATTTCTTTCTGTAAGAAAATCTTTTGTTCTAAAAAGAAAACTTGGTAGAAAATTTCTATTCCTACTATGTTACTATTGTTTTACATATATGCATATATAATTGTTACATAAATAATTGCTTTATGTATACATATACATATATGTGATCTATGTATAAAACAAGAAAATTATGTAACATATAAAGCCTGTCAAATGTCCTTTACCTGAAAATTTGCTATACCTCCAGCACCCAAGGCAGATTTTGATCTACTTTTGACTATAATACTTTCTCAAAAATGTCATTGCAAGATGTTTAAATTAAAATTATCATTATTATTATTATTAGAAATTGGATTATTTATATCAGAGAAAATTGTAACAGTAATGTTGGTTGAAGAAATTGCACATTGATGGGTAAGTCCTTAAACTCACTATGGAAACAAACAGCCTAATTTAAAGTCATTTGTACTCAAATTCAAATTTAAAGGAGAAAGAAAAGCAGAGTAGGGTACTGAATTATGTCTCTCCTACTTTGGTAGAACAAAAAATAATCCAAATCTGAATAAAGTAATCTATATATTTCCTAGTCAAAGACCACCCAGGTATGCTGATTGGAGTGCAAGCTGGTTATTTTTTAATTAGCTACGTATGAGGTTTCTGTTCAAGTTTTAACACTCTAATTAAAAACCTAATTGCACATGTAAGCAAACAATGTTCCTCTTAAGGTACCATCTCTGAAAGAGAATTATGGATGGATGCATTTTTATCCTGGATTTAGCTTTGTTTGCCATGTGACCATGTCTTTCCTTCTAGAAATATTTACTGTAGGAATAAGTTGTGCTCCAGTTTTATATGGCAAATGATGTAAATAATTTAACTTTAAAAGTCAGCTTATATTGCCTCAGAGATGACAGAAAAATTATAATCATTCTATCACTTTATTAGTAAGAAATAATAGTTTTAGAATTGAATGGGTGATATGTGGTTCCAAATTCAGCTTGTGTTACAAAAATAATACTATTTTTTTTACCATGATGTTATGAACAAATAAGTTTTAACCACCAAAAAAAGTAGGAGATATGTGATTTTAAATTAACTATGTTATGTTGAATTAGATAAATTTATCTTTTTTTAAAATTCACATTTTTCTATTAACTTTACCACAACTCAGAGAAAACCCTCATGGATAGGGTTGGTCTGTGTAAGACCCATTATAACCATGATCCATTCCGACTCTGCATTTCCCCATGTGAGCATTCATCTGACATTTCTGCTTAAATGCTGCTTGTTTATAATGACCTCTAATTTTAATTTATAAAACATGCTTAATATTAAAAAAATAACAGTTTAAAGTTATTTCAAGTATTTTCCATGTTTGTTATCAAGAAGAGTTAGTTCAAATCTTAGTTGAAATCTCAACTTTGTAAGTTTAAAATATCAACTTTGTCCATTTGAAAAATAGAAATAAGATTCATTCCATTCAGAAACAAGATGAGGCAGACACGTATATAGAAATAAATGACATAATTCCATTCTCAAGATTCAGCTTAATGGAGAAGACAGAAAAAGTATAATATCTCACAAAGATTTATTTAGGTTATATGTGATAAGATTTCAGAAGCATTTTACAGACCTTCAATTCTGATTCAAAGTTATATAATTAATGTTGCATATGTTGTGTGCAACAATATGAACAGCTTAAAACACTTGCTGTATTCTATGAATCTGGTTTACCAGTTATATCCAAGCAAAGTATAAATACACTTCCTGTTTCCTCCTTCTGCCCTTGTTCTTGGCACATAGAAGCAAATCTCCTTAGAATCCAAGGCTATCGACTTTCCTCTTCTACAGTTACAGCTCTCCGTGGTAATGACATCGGGAAGGTAACTTGTGCATACAAAGTCACCACCCCCACTCTTGAGCTTTCAGAGCTGCTGACAACATTTCCTCCTACTCAAAACACAATGTTAGCCCCACAGCAGACCAGAGCCCCAGAGTGTACTAACAAAGTGAGGCAATCTCCTCCACCAGATCATTCTTAAAGTAAGTTACTTGAGCCCCAAAACACTATGTTCTTTCTTATCCAAAGTCTTCAGAACTCCAACAAAGGAGCTCTTTTCAATATTTTTATATTATTATTTATTAATTTTATTACACATACTGAAAAGTGTACACAGCATATATGAACAACTTAAAAATGCAAATAAAACGTATACCAGCCTCCTGCTGGGTACATTCTATAGCTCCAAAGCCTGTTCTTTATAGGACTATATTCTGGGCTAGCTCTGTCTCTCTCCCAATGAGGAAAGAAGTTTCTAGGGGCAAAGGAACATTCTCACCCGAAGCCCAGGTGTCAATTTCTCTGGGCACTCAGAACCCTACAATTTCCTGCCAACGTGTTTTAGGTTTTATGTAGATTTTCTATCAATTTTTCTAATTGTGTTCAGCAGGAGAGTTGGTCTAATGCAAGCCAAACTGCCATGACCAAAAGCTAAATCATATTTGGTTTGAAATTTCATAATGGACGACTTTCATATTTCATCTATTTTGCTAGGCACTCAGTGGTTTCAATATTCCTTGAATAACTTTTTTATAACATCATCCTCTCTATTTTCTGTGTTTATCTTTCCGAATCTCTTATTATTCAAAAGTTGACATTCTGAATAGGTCTTACAGTTTTCTACTATTTATTTATTTTAGTTTCCAAGAGTTGTTTTTTTTTCATTTTTAAATAGTATCTTGTTTTATTAACAAAATAAGTTGTCTTGTCTCTTAAAAATATTGCTAATACTTATTCTTTTAGTTTTTTTCTTTCTGCCAATTTGGAGTGTGAGAGTGTGTGTGTGTGTGTGTGTGTGTGTGTGTGTGTGAATCTTTCATAACTGAAGCTGTATTCAGAAGTCTTATCATCCTTGGCTCATAACAAAGAGTGAGAGAATTAAAATCTCATTTGTAGTTTTGAGCATGTAAATTCAATTTGTCAACTTTAAGTTTCAGTAAAGCATGGGGTAGCCATGCAAATCATTGTCTAAAGTTTTGAGATTAAGGAGGCACTGTTCATATGTCAAAACAATATGCATAAACTAGAACTATACCGGACAAATCAGGTTGTATGTTGCTTCATTTATTAGAGAACTCCTTATCTTTTGTGAGCTTCTTTGAGACTGGTGAGATTCCTCAGATAAAAATCTTTATAAATCTTGCCTAGAGAGTCTGATTGACTGTTCTTAGGGATTTAGGAACAAAAATAAGGCTGACAGGTCTTTAAATTCACATGCAGCATTCCTGTTTTGTAAATTTTAGCCACAACATAGAGTTTGTATCATGACCCAACTCCTTCAATTCAGAGACCATGTGATGAACTTTCTCTTTCTAGTCAAACTTCAGGTTTTTATTAGGGATTATAAAGTCAGAGAATGTAAGGATTTGACTTCTCAAGTAGCTTTCACTCTGGTGCTCTATATTTTACCTCATATCCAATTCATTTCCAGTCCTATATGCTTGGTTCCCTAAGTTTTTGAGACTTTTGCTGATCCTACAGTGTAAATCAGGATGATTTCACCTCTCCTTATTGCCATTGTGGAATTTGGCTTTATTTGGATGCTATGCCAGTTAATACTCCTCCATTTATATTATCTAGATATAATTTTTTTTTACAGTCACCACTACCCCTATACTTCTATCCTTGTCAGCTTACGTATTTTTTAATGTTCTCACTGTAGCTTTAATGCAGTAGCAAAAGAGAAAAAAATTGAAAGTACACTCGATCTATGACCTTTACTTGGATATGTTCTCTCCAGGTTCATTGCTGATTATGCCTCTCAGCATGTGGATATAAATTTGAGAAATATAGAACATATTGCAACCTGATTAAATAATAAAGTTCTTCATTAAAAGTTTCATAGCCCTCTGACATTGAGTTACTTCATTTGCCCTCCTTTTAGAATTAGTACTTTCTCAAGTCTTAACCTGATGTCTTGTCAAGTAGTCCGTGATATACTCCCCACGCTCTTCAGATATTCAAGAGATTAAACATAGTTTAGGCTACAGTGAAGATCTCTACTTATTTTAGCAAAGTGTTGTTATACCCATAATTCAGGTGATTCTCCTGCACAAAATTATTAATTCAACAAATATTTATTAAGGGTTTCTGTATGGAAACCATTGCATTGATATCCATAATTCATAGTGTTTCTTCATATATTAGCAAGTAAACAGACTACTGTAAAGCTAAGAATTACTTGGTGACAACTACATCTAAGAATTAGAGTCAGAAGGATGCCAAGAACTACCTAGGCTTCATTTTGCAAGTGAGAAAACTAAAACACATTCAGCTTTAATAATTCAGAGAGCTGCACCCTTACTGGGAATTAATGAAGTGTCCTGGGGGATTTCTAGTCTGGTCAACCCAAATTGAAAGTCAATGGAGTAATTTAGGGAAATTCTACATTAAAGTAGAAAATCAATTGCCTATGGTATATGAGCTAGCATCTTGGGTAAAATATAATCCTCGTGTTCAAGTTAGTCATCAAATCAGTTTTGAACACACTCCAAATGCCTTATTCTAAGCAGCTGCAGTCAGTGCTATAATAACACCACTCCTGCTGTATTAGCCAGAATGCAAAGGCTCACTTTAAAATTGCTCAGCCTTAATGAAAATGGCAAAATGTTTAAAATTATACTGTACATTAGACATGGACAAAATTTCACTGCAATTTTGTCTGATTGAAAATTTAGGTAAGAATATTTGTTCTACTTTTCTCTTGCAATCCCTAAGTTGATAAGTTTCAAGCTGCATAATGTTCATCTGTTTCCTTAATGCCACCTTCTGATACCAGGTACCTTGTTGGATAGTCAGAGTGTTTAATAAGTGCCACTCTTCACAGAGGTGCTTCAGTGCCACACACAATAGCTCCTTTATTAATGTACAAACAAATGGATACCATGAGGCAAGTGTATTGTGCAGAATATGCTGGCAGAGGGTAAGATGTTTGAAATGGATGATCCCTAGGTCACTTCCAGCTTTCAGCAGCAAGTTTCTCAGAGAGTGTTATAACATAAATGAATATTATCAAGCCTAGAAAGAAGTTAATGATGTGCTTTTCATTAATGCTTCATTAAAATGTCTTTACAGATATATTGCTATTGTATCTACTTCTTTTATGTTATACTGTGCCATCCTAATACGTTTATATTACACCTACATAATAAATTGTGTGCTATATATCTGCGCAGCATAAATATATTTAATAGTAATATGAATTGAAGGCAAAGATTGTTTTAGCACACAAACCTACATATTCCAAACATCATGGATATTTTTATAAGGAAAAACAAGTTCTGACAAAGTTGAGTTAATAAATAAATGCAATGATGAATTTGAGAAATAGAGGTATCACAGGGAATTGTTTCTTCCCTCTAGGATTCCATGACATAGAATGAGAGGCTTCCATTTCTTTTAAAAGCAAAATCACTTGACTTGAAGTAAAGACAAATCCACAGTAAGCAGTCAATCCCTTGAGTGCGCTTCAGGAAGTCAAGGTCTCATGGCTGAGGGGTAGGTAGATGCCAAGTCAGCATGAGGCAGGAGCTTAGTGACCTTTAATTCCATGGGCACAAAAGACTTGGAGCTGGGTTCTTAACTCCATGGTTTTTAGAGCTGAATGTTTGTTTTCCCTTCTGTGTACCTCAGCTGCAATCAGAGCCATTATCTGCCCCTAGAATATAGTTTTAGGCTTATTGGACAAACAGTAAAAAAAAAAAAAAAAAGGAAAAGAAAAATATCCTAGATGTTTCCATTGCGACAGCTAAAAAAAGTTGGCAAATGCTCTTTTAAATTGCTTTTTGCTGCACCAAAAGTTTTGAGATGTTTGTAATTATGAAACATCTGCAGAAAAAGTAAAGTACTATATTTCAGTTTATAAAGTACAAAACCAATCGATCAATAAATGTTAGTGAATTTGTTAATCATCATGTACAAATTGTCAAGCTAATCTCTCAGCAAGATAGAATGCCATTTAAGCAACACGGACAAAAGAAAACAGAACTGACATGACAAGGCAATCAATAAATTAGGGATGGTAGGTGCTTGGTGAAAGAAGGTAAGAAAGAGGCAGTGTGAAAGACTGAACAAGTTTGAGGACCCAAGTTTTGCTTTCCAAACTGGAAAAACATCATTAGAGAAGAAGGCAGAGGTGAAAAAACACAAGGGCTTTGTGATGGGCAATGAGGGAGGAAAGCTAAAAAAGAACAAGGAAGTTTGAGGGAACCAGAGTCTCCATGTGTGTAAACAGCAAAAGATAAGAAGGAAAAAAACTGAAACTGAATTGGCATGTTCTGACCAACCAAAAGAATTTTTTGGCAGATAATATGATACCATTAAAAGGTTTTCACAGAAAATTTAAGACATAATCAGAGCTTTGATTTAGTAAGTTCATCCTACTAATCGTGTATAAAGAGGCGTGTAAGAAGTGGAGTTGGCAGGGGAAAGAATAGAAACAGAAAGCACATATAGAAACCCCTGCAGCATTTCAGGTCTCCAGGAACCAGGGCTTAAACCAGAGAGAGTTTGTGTTTGAAGATACTAGAAGTTATTGGTTAATGGCATTATGAGATGGCACAGTGAAAATTGACATTGAAGATGACATTGAGATTTTAAGTCTTATTGATTTAGAAAAAAAATAAGTCAAAAGAGAAAACTGTTATGAAAAGCAATGTAAAATACTGTTTACAGTCATAAGCTCTAGAGTAGAAAAGATCTGAGATTGAATTGCAACTCCAATGCTGACCAGCCTCGTGATCTTAAAGAACTTACATAACATCTCTGTGCCTCCGTTTTTCCACCTATACAAGAGAGCTAATAAAGTACCTATCACAAAAAGATGGCATGAACACAAAAAATAATGTATGCAAATAAACATTGCCTTGTACATTATAAATACGACTCACTGTTATTGGTAATATTATACTATTTCAAGCAATACAGATTAACTTTATATTTCTTGATGTTAGGGAAACATTAGTATTAAATAGGTGATTAGAATTGTGGCATTGGAGCTCTAATACAAAGCAGAGAGAGATGTACAAATATTTGAAACTTGAAATCAACTACAGGATTTCACAGGATTCTCATTTTCTAGTCTCTGAGACCAAAATTGGGCATGTTGTTTGAGTCTCTGGTAGCTTTGCAATACCATATACATTTGTGTACTTCCAGGCTTCAGTTTATTGGATATCTGACCCATGTGCACCAATCAGAGTTTTAAAACAGGAATTCAAAACTGGTTTGAAACTGGAAAAATCTTTGAAAATCATAGTCAGCTATATAGTGGTTCAATAACTAATGACAGGCAAACATACAAATTTTCAAAAAGGAAGAATCTTGTAATTTGAAAATTACAAATAATAACTTTAATAGTCATCCTTTGGAACTTTGTACAAAGGATAATTAAGCAGAAGATTAGTGTGTGTGTATGAGAGTGTGTGTGTGTGTGTGTGTGTGTGTGTGTGTGTGGTCATTTTATTTAATCATTAGGAGCCTGCATGGGTTCATTAATAAACAAATTTCAGACTAACATCTTTTGAGAATTTTAATGAAGTTGTATAGGAAATTTGAATTTTTTTCATAAGCTGACATACTGGAAAGGCTTCATCAGACCCAAAAGAGTAATGCTTTATAGTAATGCTTTGCTAAAAAGGCAAAGTTTGCAGTGTGAAAAAAAAAGAAGAAAAGGAAGAGAGTTCAGGCAAGCATTGGAGTTCCAAGAGATAACCGTATATGCAAACTCTAAAGCAAGCTTGTCCAACCCACGGCCCGTGGGCCTCATGTGGCCCAGAACAGCTTTGAATGTAGCCCAACACAAATTCATAAACTTTCTTAAAACATTAAGATTTAATTAATTAATGAATTTTAAATTTATTTTTCTTTTTTCTTTTCTTTTTTTTAGCTTATTAGCTATGGTTAGTGTTAGTGTATTTTACATGTGGCCCAAGACAATTCTTCTTCTTCCAATGTGGCCCAGGGAAGCCAAAAGATTGGGCACTCTGCTTCACAAGGTCTTTTTCAACACACTCAAGGCACTTCCTATCCCTATTAAACCAAGATCTTTGCAATAAATCTTGGCTTTAGGAGAACTGGAGTCACAAATTGCCAGGACGTCTTTCTAATCGAATAGTTACACCAAGCTGTTTAACTGCTTGTGCTGAGTGAAAATAATCAACAAACAAAATATCCCAGGGAGTTACCAGAATCATTTCAGAGTTTAAATTCTACTCTCGTTATTTTAACTAAGAAGTAAAGCCAGACATCCAGGCAACTCTAAAGTCTAGAGTTTTCCAGTATAGTGCATATCAACTCCATCCTACACACAGGTGAGAGGAGTTCACACATGGAGAATGTTCTAATTTCAACGATAAATTTGATGTTGTGTCATATTAAATTGTTATAAGCAAGATGAAGAAAATTCAATGAGATAACACTATGATTAGTCTGATTTATGGTTGGAGGGGTAAGTTACCCAAAAATGTCAGTTAGTGGAGTAAAATTACCTGGGAAGGTAATCCTGTTAATCAGTGAATGAAAGCCAGCAAAATAAAAACTGTGTTTTACATATATAAAGTCTATGTTAAGAACACCTTAATTATTTGCTAAATAGTTAATGATCAAATCAGTGGACAGTTTATGTGAGAGAAAAAAAATCTCAGTGCTTTCAGTGAATCAGTAGGTTCAATTTAAGTAGGTATGACTTTACTTAAACACACACATCCCTATTTTAAGTCTAGTATTGTATGCAATTTAGGAAATTATTGGACCTACTCCACTCTGTTGTGGTTTGTATGGGCAACTGGTTCTATTTCTGAATATCAGAATCATAACATTGTGGTAACATCTTTATTCTATACCAGAGTAGGCTAGTCTAGACTAGGAATCCTTCACTGAAGAAATGTAATACTCCTTTAAAACTAAGTATCTCAAAATTTATTGAGTATATTTTAAAAGATAAAAATAAATGTACAAAACTAAGTAGATATGAAAGGTTACATAAGGAAGTTTGTCTACCTAACTTGTGTTCCCTAGTACCCATAGTTTTTCTGCCACCACTGTCTAGTTTCTAGTTTCTACCACCACCACTGCCAGAGAGATTTTATGCATATACAATCAAATGCACATTTGGAACAAATGATCACATACTATATGCGTTATTCTTTATCTTTTTTGTCAACATTTCAGTATACGTTGGCTAGCTTTTCACTATCAGTACATAAAAATTGGTCTCTTTCTTTTTAAGGGCTGCATAATGTTGCATTGTATAGATGTGCTGTAAGTAACTTAACAACACCTATTAATAGATTTTGTAGATGGGTTAAAACACTAAAAACAACGTTTCAACAAGCAACCTTTATAAATATTTCATACATGTTTCAGTTTATTGAATACTAATTTTTCTAAGTAGGATGTCTGGGTGAGAGTGAATTTCATCTGAAAATTCTAATCTGTATTTCCAAATTGTTCTTGTCATTGTTTTTACCCTTTTATACTATCATAAGCAAAGTACACAAATGCTAACTTTCTTTCATCTTGGCCAATAGAATGTTTTACACAGTTTTTCTTTTTCAAAGTGGAAAATTGAATCTTGTTGCATTTTTAAATTAATGTTTCCCATACTTTCATGTGTTTAAGACATGTTTGTATATTTCTTTTGTGAAATCTTTTTGTTTGCAGGGCTGGATGAACAACAAGAGGCAGGTGAGAAAAAGGAATACACTGATTCAGGTAGTGGGAAAAGTACAAGTAGAAAGTATATGCAAAAGTCACATATATGTCAATATTTTTATAACATTAAGTGGGAAAAGAATAGCGGTACAAAATGAGGTCAGAAAGAATGACAGGCATCAGATCATGAAGAGTCTCATGTGTTTACTAAGTTATTTAGACCTTAGATTTAGCTGAGAGTTTACTTCTAAAGAATGCCTGGGATGCTTTTAAAGTAGTCTCAGGATGCTGCCCCCAGGGTTATAATTCTACAGGACTAATGCAGAAACCAAGAGCCAAGGGCAGATAGTGGTCCTTTATGAGGTCTGCAAATCAATTCAATGGACCTACATAGTAGTGTTTTGGGTTTTTTGTTTGCTTGTTGTTACTGAAAAAAAAGAAGAGAAAAGAACAAAATAGAAGCAAGAAGAACAGGGAACAAAAAACAGAGGGAAAAAGAATGGAAGAAAGAAAAGGAGCGAAAAGAACAAGAAAGAAAAGAAGATGAAAGTGAGGAGAGAAAACTAAAAGGAGAGGATAAAATATTAAAACATATTGCTGGATACATGACACTGATTTCAATAAATATGTGTATAGACACAGTCAGTATGGGTTTTTGTGGACTGGTGTTCTAAGAAGTGATGAGAAAACATAAAATGTAATTCTTGCTGTGAGCCATGGCTTAAAAAGTTTGAAAAGAGCTGCCTTAGCCTAGGTGGTAGCTTTGAAGCATTTTAAACATATGAATGGCATCTTCTTTGAATTTTAGATTCATCTGTGAGAAAGCCTATGGGCAAACAGCCACCTCTTTAACACACTGCACATACACATGATCTGTGATTTTCATTTCAACATATTGAAAGCAAAATTCTTTAATTTGATATGCAAATGAGAGTGCATATTTTATGAATATAAGAATGGCAAGTTTCCATGAGGGTCTTTTCTTATTCAACATCTAATTAATTCATTTACTTAAATATATTTATCTAGTACCTGCACTGGTCAGCCCCAAGCTGCTTCAGCCCTACTCTCCCACTTGTAGCCACTATGCCACTGCAACTGCATGAGACACTCAGAGCCAGGATGATCCAACAGAGCCCTTTCTGAAACTCTGGCTCACAGACCACATAAGAGTTAATAAAATGATTATGCTTAATCTGAGCTATTAATTTTTGATGGGATTCATTAGCCAACAATAAGTAAAGAGATATGCTGACAAACCAATAAAAATATAATTAAATGATGACTAAGTGCTAAGGAAAAAAATTAAAGAAGAATATGGCTATGAGGTATAAGAGAAGTGGGGAAAAAAGTACCATACTATAAAAGCTAGTCAGAAAAGACCTCACTGATAAGGTAATATCTGAGCAGAGTAAAGAAGGTAAAGGACAAGCCCTACATAGATTTAGGGAAAGAATATTCCAGAGAGAAGATGTGGTAGATACTAAGGCTGAAGCCCAGAATGCTTGGTATGTTAAAGGAACACCAGAAAAGAGTGAATAAGAAAGAGGGTATATTATTAGTCCATTCTTGCATTGCTAAAAATAAATACCTAAGACTAGGTAATTTATAAAGAAAAGAGGTTTAATTTGCTCGTGGTTTTGTAGACTGTACAGGAAACATGTCAACGTCTGCTTCTGGGGAGTCATCAGGGGGTTTTTACTCATGGCAGAAGGCAAAGCACGAGCAGGTGTCTCACATGGCAGAAGCGGGACCAAAAGAAAGAGGAAAAAGATGCTACACATTATTAAACAACCAGATATAATGAGAACTCACTCACTATTTTGACAGATTACCAAGGAGAACATCCACCCCCGTGATCCAATCACACCCCACCAGGCCCCACCTCCAACACTGAGTATTACAACTCCAAACAATATCATTCTGCTCCTGGCCTCTCCAAATCTTATGTCCTTCTCACATTTCAAAATACAATCATCCCTTCTCAACGGTGCCCTAAAGTCATAAGTCATTCTAGCGTTAATTAAAAAATCCAAAGTCCAAAGTCTCATCTGAGACAAAGCAAGTCCCTTCCACCTATGAGCCTGTAAAATCAATAACAAGTTAGTTACTTCCAAGATACATGGGAGGTATAGGCATTGGGTAAATATTCCAATTCCAAAAGGGAGAAATCAGCCAAAAAGGAGGGGCTACAGGAACCATGGAAATCTGGATGAAACCCAGCAGGAAAATCACTTAAAGCTCCAAAATCTTCTTCTTTAATTTCATGTCTCACATCCAGACTTGTTGAATGGCTATGACAGAAATGCTGATAGTGATATGAACAATAAGGTCCAGGCTGAGGTGGTCTCAGATGGAGATGCGAAACTTCTTGGGAACTGAAACAAAGGTGACTCTTGTTATGTTTTAGCAAAGAGACTGGTGACATTTTACCCCTGCCCTAGAGATTTGTGCAACTTTGAACTTGAGATGATTTAGGCTATCTGGTGGAAGAAATTTCTAAGCAGCAAAACATTTAAGAGGTGACTTGGGTGCTGTTCAAAGCATTCAGTTTTAAAAGGAAAACAGAGCATAAAAGTTTGGGAAATTTGCAGCCTGACAATTTGATAGAAAAGAAAAACCTATTTTCTGAGGAGAAATTTAAGCCAGCTGCAGAAAAATGTTGCGTAAGTAATGAGGAGCCAAATTTTAATTGCCAAAATAATGGGAAAAATATCTCCATGGCATGTCAGAGGTCTTCACAGCAGCCCCTCCCATCATACACCTGGAGACCTGGGAGAAAATGGTTTCATGGGCTGGACTCAGGGTCCCCATGTGGTGTGTAGCCTAGGGACTTGGCTCCCTGCATCCCAGCTCCTCCAGCCATGGCTGTAAGAGGGTTGGGCCATGGTTTCAGAGGGTGCAACATAGAGCTTGGGCTGTGGCTTCAGAGGGTGCAAGCCCCAAGCCTTGGAAGCTTCCACATGGTGTTGAGCCAGCAGGTGCACAGAAGTGAAGAATTGAGGTTTGGGAACCTCTGCCTAGATTTCAGAAGAGGTATGGAAATGCCTCAATGCTGCAGGGGCAGGGCGCTCATGAAGAACCTCTGCTAGGGCAGTGCAGAAGGGAAATGTGGGGTTCAGAGCCCTCCCACAGAGTCCCAACTGGAGCATCACCTAGTGGATCTGTGACAGAAGGGCCACTGTTCTCCACACCCCAGAATGGTAGATTCACTGACAGCTTGAACTGTGTGCCTGGAAAAGCCACAGACACTCAACACCAGCCTGTGAAAGCAGCCAGAAGGAAGACTGTACCTTGCAAAGCCACAGGGGCAGAGCTGTCCAAGACCATGGGAACCCACCTCTTCCGTCAGTGTGACCCAGACACAAGAAATGGCGTCAAAGGATATCATTTTGGAGTTTTAAGATTTGACTGCCCTGCTGGATTTCGGACTTGCACGGGGCTGGTAGCCCCTTTGTTTGGCCAATTTCCCCTGGAATGGCTATATTTACTAAATGATGGTACGTACCCCCATTGTATCTAGGAAGTAACTAACTTGCTTTTGATTTTACAGGCTCATAGGTGGAAGGGACTTGCCTTGTCTCAGGTAAGACTTTGGACTGTGGACTTTTGAATTAATGCTGAAATGAGTTAATACTTTGGGGGACTGTTGGGAAGGCATGATTGGTTTTGAGATGTGAGGACATGAGATTTGGAGGGGCCAAGGGCAGAATAATATGGTTTGGCTCTGTGTCTCCACCCAAATCTTATCTTAAATTGTATTCCCATAATTCCTACGTGTTGTGGGAGGGCCACAGTGGGAGATAATTTACATCATGGGGATTGTTTCCCCCATACTGTTCTCATGGTAGTGAATAAGTAAGTCTCATGAAATCTGATGGTTTTATGAGGAATTTCTGCTTTTGCATCTTCCTCAGTTCCTCTTGCCACCTCCATGTAAGAAGTGTCTTTTGCCTCCTGCCATGATTCTGAGGCCTCCCCAGCCATGTTGAACTAACTGTAAGTCCAATTAAACAACTTATTCTTCCCAGTCTCTGGTATGTGTTTATCAGCAGCATGAAAATGGACTAACACTCCCTCTGAAGCAGCAGCCTAAGGACATGGTACCCTGTGAGCCATGGCTGGAGCTGGCATGGCTGGGATCCAGGGAGCAGTGTTCCAAGGCTGCATAGAGCAGCAGTGGCCTAGGCCTGGTTCATAAAACCATTCTTCCCTCTTAGACCTCCAGGCCTTTGATGGAGGGAGTGCCCGGAATGTCTCTAAAATGCCTTCAAGGCCTTTCCTCCATTGTCTTGCTTATGAGCATTTGGCTCTTCTTTAGCTTATGTGAATTTCTGCAGCCTGCTTGAATTCCTTCCCTGATAATGGGCTTTTCTTTTCTACCACATGGCTGGGATGCAAATTTTTCAAACTTTTACAGTCTGTTTCCCTTTTAAATATAAGAGCTCCAGTTTTAGGTCATTTCTTTGCTCACACATATGAGCATAGTTGTTGTTACAAGCAGCCAGGACACAGTTTGAACACTTCGCTGCTTAGAAATCTCTTTTGCCAGATACCCTATCATCACTCTCAAGTTCAAAATTGCACAGATACCTTGGGCAGGGGCATAATCCTACCAAGCTCTTTGTTAAAGCATGGCAAAAGTGACCTTTACTTCAGCTCCCAATAAGTTCTTCATTCCCATCTAAGACTTCCTCAGCCTGGACTTCATTGTCCATATCCCTATCCCCATTTTTGTTACAACAATTCAACAAGTCTCTAGGAAGTTCCAAATTTTTCCTAATCTTCCTGTCTTCTTCTGAGCCCTCCAAACTCTTCCAACTTCTGCCCATTACCCAATTCCAAAGCTGCTTCCACATTTTCTGGTATATTTATAGCAATGTCCCATTCCACAGTACCAATTTTCTATATCGGTCTGTTCTTGCATTAGTATAAGGAAATATCTAAAACTAGGTAATTTATAAAGAAAAGTGGTTTAATTGGTTCATGTTCCTCTGGCTGTACAGGAAGCATGGCAGCGTCTGCTTCTGGGGAGATATCAGGGAGCTTTTACTCATGGCAGAAGACAAAGTGAGAACAATCATTTTACGTGGCAGGAGCAGAACTGAGAGAGAGGGAGGAGGTGCTACAAACTTTTAAACAACCAGATCTCACAAGAACTCACTCACTGTAGCAACACAGTATCAAGAAGGAAATCCACCCCCATGATCCAATCACCTTCCACTAGGCCCCACCTCCAACACTGAAAGTTACAATTCAGTGTGAGATTTGAAGGGGGACACAGACAGATCCAAACTATATCAGGGCAGCAGTATGAGCTCATAGATAAGGGAGGATGATGGGGAATGGGGAAAAGCCAAAGTAACGTAGAGCTTTGTAGGCTATATTAAGAATTTCTACTTTCACTCTGGGTGAGACGGAAAACTTTAGAGTAGTTCCGAAAAGTGAGTAATGTTTTGAGTGATCTATCTGGTTTCTGTGTAGAGATTAGAAGGGGCAGAAGGGAAAATGCAAATTAAAAATGAAAGGCTGAATTCTCTCTGTTGAAAATAAGAGAAGAGTCTCCTCCTCCTTTTCTTGGAGCATTTACTTTAGAAATGTTATTAGTTCTCTCTCTGTCTCTTTAAAATACACATAAATCTTTTTAAAAGCTGAATAAGCCTCTTGCTAGCTTTGAAACCCACAAATGTCTTTCTCAAGGATCTCAGAGTCACCTATGTGAGATGTAGTCATCATATATATATATATATATATATATATATATATACACATACACACACACACGCGTGCACACACACACACACACACACACACAGAGCACCCTTGTCTTCCAGTTTCTATGGAAAAGCAAAGCCTAACATCCTCAGGTGACTCATTCCAAGTTGTAAAACAAACTTTTTCATGAAGATACAAAAACTTCATTATTTCTTTGGATAAAGGCAATTAGCTTACACAGATGGTCACCCCAATTATCAAATGAATTTAGAATGAACTATGTGTGACAAATGGTGCTGTCAAGACCTCTTATTTGAGGCCTAGTTATTGTTTATCTTGAGAACATTTATGTAACGAGTTATAACTGCTTGGCTAAATAAAAGGGTGAAATTTTTTTTCTGTCTTTTCAATCTCTTATTCCATTGCCTGTGACACACAACACATTCTAGTTTAATGCTTATTTAATAATCTAACTGTTACTTTCTCTTCTGCAACTGTGAAGAGGTTTTTTGAATTGGGAGGATATTTTGTTTCTAATTCTATTTTCCAAGGAAGAGCAAGAGCAGAATCAAAGAAAATAGTTAAGAAATTACCGTGGTATTCCAAAAGACCAATAATGGTGACGTGTGTAGCGTGAAGCAGTGGAAACTAAAAATGTAAGTTTCATGAGTGCCAAGGCTGTGTTTTCAGCAACTAACAATGTGTCATGTGACCAAAGTCATCTATATGTTCCTTTATTCATCTAATTAGCATTTATATAATTCTTTACTATCTGTCAGATATGAGCCTAGACTCCAAGAGAAATTAAAAGAAATTCTACTTTTATTATTTATCAAAGTTCCAAGTTTTTAATTTTTTTCTGATAATTATTACATAACTTCTTAATTATTCTAAGCTCTCAATCAGCATACAAGATACAGAGCTTATTTATTCCATTTAATATAAATTTTTAGAGTGTTTTCTTTTTCAGGTTATTCATCGAATCGAAATATACTAAACTTAACCATTTCAAATAGCGTATTTAGCAATAAATTCCATGAAATTATATATAAGTCTCTATTAGATGTTAAAATAATAACAATAACAATGATCCTAAAATAATAAAACAAGATTTAAAAACAAAGTTTATTAAAGTTTGTGTGCCCATTACTTATGTAGTTAGTGTCTTATTACCTTTCTTTTTTATTGTCGTTGTTTTGTTTTTGTTTTATTTTTTAAGATGGGGAAAGAGAAAAATAAAAAAAAGAAAGCATCCTAGATAATTTTTCCCATAATAGAAAAAATAGGATTAATTGATGATTCCCAATCTGCTCACATTTTCTGACTAACCTGTCTGATATGACTTAAAGGGAACCACTTCTACCGGAATTTTCGAAGGGTAAAGGGAATCTGTTCCCATAATTTGAAATGCAGAAAAGTTCAGGCTCTATCTAAAAAGAAAATAATATAAAAATAAATACTAATAAGAGTATAAAGTGAGTGTCATTGAAACCAATAGGTATCAAGAGCTGCTTGAGCATTTTGTTTAGCATAATGATCACTCCAGAGAGTTTCTGTGAATGCACTCAGATGGGTGATATTCCAGTATAACTCTCAACTTCTTGAAACAGGGTAATTTAATTTTCTCAGAACAAGAAAATGAAAATATCCGACTTCTGGGCCACCACTGGGACTAGCTCTCAGCAAGCCTAAGTGTGCCAAATATAAAGGAGTGATTTTTATCCTCCTATTGGTTTTATTTTATTAACACAAAACATATTCCATTATGTTAAGAAATAGGATATTTAAGACAAGCAAATCTAAACATCTACATAACCAAACCAAAACCTGAAATAATTGTGTATGCTTTTTTGACCAAGGAAAATCCCACATTGTAGAAATTAGTTTGAGTTCTTAAATCACCTTGAAGAGCAGTCTAAAAAACTGAATTCATTAGATGTTTGTTAAACTTTCTGGTTTGTGTTGAATAAGCTAAGTAAATGGCAATGCTTTTAAGTAGAAAAAACTTTTTGAATTTGAAATTAGAATACTTATGTCCTTAATTTCTACACATGTAAACTTAAGCAAGTGAGGAAACATTAAATTGAGTCTTTCCTCCTCTGCAAAATAGAATTAATGGTAACATTTTTCCCTGCTTAACACTGTTAGGATGGGAGGATGCAATTTAAAAATGTTTGAAAACAGTAATCTATTTCTAAATACAAGGCATGTTATTACTTCCATAATTAGAAATGTTAATTATTAAATGAGATTACAAATGTACAAAAATATTTTTACTTATTTTTATTTGAACTTTAGAAATTTTATGATAGTCTATAACTATTAAAAATGCTCCAATAACCCAAGTGCTAATACCACTCGGTCCTTTTAGAGAGGAGAACTGGGCAGGTGAGGATCCAGGTTGGTAGGAACAAAATCTGAACTGTTTATAATATATACCGAATGCCTAGATGTTAGTAGATGACAAACTCATCTGGAATAGTTAATAAGTAACATATCATATTCTTAGCACTTCAGTGTTCATGAATGTATTATTTTGTCATGCCTTTGCTTGAAGGGAGTAACAAAGAAAATTATCTGCCTAAAGGGAAGGAGGGGCATTGGAGAAGGTAGAAACCACATTCACACTCCTCTCCTAATTAAGTTTTAAACAAATATTTATTGATTTCCTCTTGTTGCAGGCATGGGATAACTTTGATATAATATGTCCTTAAAAGGACAAGAGAGTAGAAAAAGGTAAAAGACACATTTATATGTATTTATTTATTCATTCAACAAAAATTCATTGTACCCAGGACCATTCTAAGCAAAAGGGACACAGCAATAAATAGAACCTTATACTTGTCATCACAAAGCTTACAGAGTGAACATTAAACAGATGTTTACAATGAGGAAACCTGATATGATTGGTAAATGCAGAAAAGACGAGAGCATTAGCCTAAACTTAGAGTCACTGAAGTCTGAATGAATAACAGATGTATAAATTGATATCTGAAAAGTGACTAGACAAACTGAGAGGTGAAGAGTGTCCTAGGATGAGTCACTTCTTATATAAATATATGCAGACAAGATGAAAGGAATCCCTCCACCCCGCTCCTAACCTGGGACTAAGGTTCTTCATAAAACACAACCGTATCACCCTGCAGTTCTAGAACACTCTTCAAATTTGCAGCTATTTATTTAAATGCCTACCTTATCAATCATTTTGTAATCTCCACAAAGAAAGTGAAATTACCTACTTTGTTTATCGCTGTATCCTCACCTCTTATTACAGGGATGGTTATTTTTTAAAAGCTCAATAAATAAAAGCTAAATACAAAATAAGTTTTAAAAAAGGTTTAGTGAAGGTACAGATGAGAACACTAAAAGTAGTTCTGAGAAAAATGAGATTGAAAGTATGGCCAAAGGTGAAATCTTTATTTTATTTTATTGATAAAAATTATTGAACAGTCTTATGGGGAGACTAAGCTGATCAGAATTGTGCATTTTGAAATATCACTTTGGCTTGACAATAAGAGGAATTTGGAAGAGATCTCATCAGGAGAAAGAGTTACCAGTTAGGAAACTGTTGCAATAATCCTTATGATTGATAATGGTAGTCTGGTATAAGGTATAGTGGTACATATGAACAATAGTGCATGCACTCTGGAAATATTTGGAAAGCTAACGAAAAAGGAAAGAAAGAGACAGAGATCATTATTTCAATTCTGCCTTGACTAATCTCTTTACACCATAAAAGTTGTGTTTAATATCTAATATAAATTCAAATGTGAGCAGATAGGGAAGCTAACAGCCGTAATAACAAACCATTATAATACCATAGCACAAGGGCTATAACAGAGTAAGTACAAATAAAAATTACAGAAACAAATAAGGAACTTCACTCATTTATTCAACAAATATTAAATGATTACCCATTATGTACCAAGTACCATGTTTGTAACTGCCTTCAAGAAACATACAGTATTGTGGGAAACTCAGATAACTATAGTATAATAGTTAACTAGTGACAAACAGCTAGGATTTACTGAGTGCTTACTAAAAGTGAACCATGGAGCTAAATGGATTTATTGCTGTATCTTATTTAACCCTTCTGAAAAACCTCTGATGATAATGATTTAATGATTGTTCTTTTTTTTTTTTTTTGAAATGGAGTTTCGCTCTTGTTGCCCAGGCTGGAGTGCAGTGGCACAGTCTCGGTTCACTGCAACCTCTGCCTCCCAGGTTCAAATGATTCTCCTGTCTCGGCATCCCAAGTAGCTGGGGTTACAGACATGCGCCACCACACCCAGCTAATTTTTGTATTTTTAGTAGAGATGCTGTTTCACCATGTTGGTCAGCCTGGTCTCAACACCTGACCTCAGGTGATTCCCCTGCCTCGGCCTCCCAAAGTGCTGGGATTACAGGCGTTTGAGCCACCGTGCCTGGTGGTAATGATTGTCCTTTCTGTCTCCTTTGTTGAGTTCTCTTCTCCCCTACCACTTAATGTTGAAATGTGCTAGGACTCAGTTCTTGGTTATCTTCTCATTTCCATCTACACTTATGTGCAATGTGATTTTATTCCTTTCAGTGACTTTAAATGCATTTATTTGCTGTGACTCCTAAATATGGATCTGCTACTCAGACCTTGCTCATAAACTCCAGAGTTCTATATCAACTGCCTACCAGAAATGTCCTCAGGTAACAAAAACAAAATGTTAATACCTGCTTCTTTATCAGCCTTTTCCATTTCAGTGGATAATACAGTCACTTCCAATGGCTCAGGGCAAAAATTTGGGATCATTTTGTACCCCTTTCTTACTCTCATATTGTATAGCTGATTTTATCAGGAAATTCTGTTGGTTTAATCTTCTAAAGATATCCACAATCTGACTGTTTCTCACCTCCTGCATGGACACAAACTTGGTCCGAGCCACTATCATTCTTTACCTTTGTCATGACTGATAGATCCCTACCTGGTTCCCCATTACATGCCATTGCTCCCCTACAGTCCAATGTCACTGGAGCAACCAGAGATATCTTTTTAAATTAAAAGCTAGATAATGTTACTTGTTTGCTAAAATACCTGCAATAGCTCCGTTTCCACAGAATTAAAAAACAAGTTCTTCTCAATGGCTTATGTACTTTATTTAATAGACCTCCAAAAGGGCATGTCTATCTGGAATATTGAAGTTTGACTTTATTTGGAAATATAGTCTTTGCAAATATGATAAAGTTAAGATGACATCATTGTGTATTAGAGTGGGCCCTGTTCTAATGACTGGTAGCTAGGAAAAGCAAGGGAAGGATACTTCTCTACAGCTTTGAGAGAAAGCTTGGTGCTACTGACATCTTGATTTTGCATTTATAGTCTCTAGAACTATGAAAAAATAAATTTATGTCATTTTAAGCCATCCAGCTTGTAGTAATTTGTTACAACAGCCATATGAGTCAAATACAGCTTAGAAGGCCCTGTGTGATCTGCACCATCCACTCCCCAATCTCATTACTAGCTTATTCTACAGTGGCCACCCACACTGCCTGCTACTTCTCATAAACAACAGGAATAGTGGTACCTTGGGCCAATTGTACTGTCTGATACATTGTCCTGGAATGCTTTTCTGCTGGGTATCTGCACAGCTATCTCATGTCTTTCAAGCCTTTGATCAACTAGGAAGGTCTCAATGAAGCTTGTACTTATCACTCTATTTGAAATTGCAATTAGCCACAAGTTACAAAAAGCAAATTATCAAATTTTATTGATACCGTGGGCTTATCACACTGGACAAAATGTATTGGTAGAATGCCTTCCAGGAACTTAATGTACATAATGGAAGTAATGAACCCCACATATATCTTGTGGACACCACAGAATATAAACACAAGAAATATTCTGAGCATAAGTACTAAAGTGAATGGTGTGGTTTCTTCTGATGAATAAGAATTCACGGCTGGGCGCGGTGGCTCACGCCTGTAATCCCAGCACTTTGGGAGGCCGAGGCAGGCGGATCACGAGGTCAGGAGATCGAGACCACGGTGAAACCCCGTCTCTAGTAAAAAATACAAAAAAAATTAGCCGGGCGCAGTGGCGGGCGCCTGTAGTCCCAGCTACTCGGGAGGCTGAGGCAGGAGAATGGCGTGAACCCGGAAGGCGGAGCTTGCAGTGAGCGGAGATCGCGCCACAGCACTCCCGCCTGGGCGACAGAAGGAGACTCCGTCTCAAAAAAAGAAAAACAAAAAAAAACAAACAAAAAAAAAAAAAAAAAAAGAATTCACATCAAAGATCTCAGCAGGAACAGGACACATGAAAGATGTTTGGAACTGTGAAACTTTGATCGGTCACTTAACATTTCTGGATATATATTCCTCATGTTAAGAATGGAGAGGTGAAACCAGATGATGTTTAAAAAATACCCCACCCTTAACAATTTATTATCAACTCTACACAGGATTAAACAAAATCTTACAGAAAAAGATGACCTAATTGGCTATATCATTTTGCTTATAATAGCTTGCTTTCACCATTAGCATTTAATTTCCTGATGAGTACACAAACGCTACCTTCACAGGCAACAATATGAAAACCACAAATCCCCTAAACTTCTTAAAAAATTGCCATTGTTGACAAGATTATAGAAGCTCATTGGCAATATATTTGTGTTTTATCCTCCCCAATCTAATTATGAAACTATGAAGAAAAAGGCTGATATTGAGGGAACAGTGAAGACTACAGTATTATACTGGGGAAATAAGATGTAGTCAATCGGTAAAAGATAGAAAATATTGAAGAAATGATCAAATGCTGAAGAAAGAGGCTACTAAAATATATCAGACAGTAATGTATGTCTTTATATGAGAAAACTAGAGAAAGCATGTATCAATAAGACTTAAAATTAGAAACTGGAATAAGAGTCTTAGGAAAAACAACAACAGACAAAAAAAAAAAAAAACTTCTACTTGGAAAACTTGAAATAGCAACAGGAATTGCCATAGATAGTATTTTTTAAAATGTAGTTTTCCTAAGTCAGATCCACTTTATTCTTCAATTAACTACATGCTCTTCAAAATGATAAAATAACGATCTCAGAGTGCCCAAATAATTGAGTGCTCTTGAATTATATGAATAAGATTACATTCTTTGTTCTTTTACCCTCTACTGAAATTGGTGTAATGCTTGTAAAAAGATACTCACTTGACAGTTCTAAACATGTAAGCCCTCTGTTAACCCAGAAAGCAGGAATAGAATACAAAGGAGATTCCAACAGCCTCACATGAGCTGTGTGCATGCTAAACACTGTTCCTATTGGACCACTTGTAAAGTGAGAGTTTCATAGTTCATAGGCCATTCAGCTCTTTCACTGTTGCTGGCATATTCAGAGATGAAGCTACTTAACCACAGATTTGTAAAATTATTTCAGCTGAGAGAGAATCTCCAGAGATAAGTTCCTCAGTTTAATGGTGAATTTGCTTCCATTGTGGTATTGACTAAAGAATGTTAATTCATTTCACTCAAGTTAATAAAATACATGGACTATTCAACCATCCTGTACTCTTATTTTGCCTTAAATGACATATTTTTATTCCTATGATCTACAATTTTATTATTTTTACTATTTACAACCTAAATACATAAGGTGGGAAAAAGATGTACTCTAACCGGAAAATTCCTAATTATGTAGCTGACATTATAAAAAATAATCTTAAAAGCTTCACATTCAACATCCATGAGCTAACGTTGAGACCTGCAAAGTGCGTGAAATATTTGAAATTATATCAAATAATATTATATATCTTTATAAACTTGATATATTGACTGTAGTTAATGTAAAAAAAAATACACAATTTAGAAAATCTAAGCACCAAATTCATTATGCACTAGTACTTCCCAGGTATAAGCAATGTTCCCTTATACCAAAAGCTGTCCTCGAAATGTTGTTCACATTCCTGCATTGGCACAAATTGCTAAGAATTTTATTAAACTGTGAAATGTAACTCCACAGATAAGAAAAAAAGACTCCACACTATAAATCCCCATTTTTCATTTAATACATGTCAGTTTTCCGAAGTTGATGACCCAGAAAATTTAAAACTCAGAAGAAAAATTCCATCAATTTACAATGTGTAATAATATCAAGAAAAGTTATACAAAATTTGAAAATCAAAAGAATGAAGTCATATTGAAAGTATGGCATGCACTTTTAATGTCATACCAGGGAATTACTTAAGAATCGCTACCTGTGTTTGAATTTATTATTCAGTTAGAGATCAAACATTTATAAGTTTCATCTTCAATTGTGGACTTATGTCTGGTAGAAAATATAATTCCAAAGATTTTTTTAATATTGCCATATAGCAAATTAACTATTTAACATTGCAGTCTTATTTTAACATTTTTTATTCAAAACATGTATAAATAGATTCTCAATATAATTTTGTCCTATCTTTACAATATTAAGTGTTTTCTTAAGAATTAATGGATTAAATCAAGGTCTGTGGCATGGGTTTATTTAAGAATCATATTTTAAACTACTTGAAAATTATATTTTGATTATAAAATGTTCATGTTAAAAAACTTGAGTTTCTAAACTTTCCAAGTCACCTTCCTTGTTGCTTGATCCTAGGTAAACTATTTCATTCCTAAATCTCACATTCCTAATCAAAATAAAGAAAAGAATAAAATTTTATTCTAATCAACAGTAGCATATTCCTCTGAAGTACACATGGGCATTCTCCAGGATAGACGATATTTTAGGCCACTAAACAAGTTTTAATAAATGTTAAAGGATTAAAATTGTACAGTGATTCTTTTCTGATCACAATGGAATGAAACTGAAAAATAATAGTAGAAGTGGGAAATCTACAAATATGTGGAAATTAAACAACACACTTTTTTTCAGTGACACTTTCTTGCTTTAGCATTTGTTGTCTTTTTCTGCTTTTGGAATGAGCTCTCAATTACAAAATACCAAACTACCCTCAAAAGAGGGTGTAGAAAAAGCCAGCCATTGGCACAGCACGGAGAAGCCCACAAGTAACCACAGACAAGAGCAGCAGGTGGCAAGAGTTAGGAGGTGACTGAAGCAGTGGTTACCAATGTTCACAGGATGCTAAAAGTATCCAACAGGTTGTACTCTAATGTTAGCACAGGTTAGACAGGTTAGACTAGTTACTACCTTGCTGGGTTACCTCAGTATGTTTGGGTTCAGATTCTACACAGCAACACATCTTCCAGTTAAGAGTGACAGACTGGATTAAGAAAACATGGCACATATACACCATGGAATACTATGCAGCCATAAAAAATGATGAGTTCATGTCCTTTGTAGGGACATGGATGAAGCTGGAAACCATCATTCTCAGCAAACTATTGCAAGGACAAAAAACCAAACACCACATGTTCTCGCTCATAGGTGGGAATTGAACAATGAGAACACTTGGACACAGGAAGGGGAACATCACACACTGGGGCCTGTTGTGGGGTTGGGGGAGGGGGGAGGGATAGCATTAGGAGATATACCTAATGTAAATGACAAGTTAATGGGTGCAGCACACCAACATGGCACATGTATACATATGTAACAAACCTGCACATTGTGCACATGTACCCTAGAAATTAAAGTATAATAAAAAAATTTAAAAAAAAGAAATGTGGGAAAATAACAAAATGTTGACTCTAGGTAAAGGTACGTGGATGTTCATTGTATTATTTTTTAAACTTTTATAAAGGTTTGTGATTTTTTAAAAAGTTGGGGGAAAATAAATCATTATTCATTTTCTTACTGGAAATCATTAAAAGAAAAAAAAAGAGTTCTTGGCTTGCACCGATCACAGCGTGATTGGAAGGTAGTGGACAAGTCTTGTTAGCTTTTCAAAATGCTGTCCTAGACTTGATATGTATTGGGAGACTTCAGGAGCTCTGCACTTCAGTGACAGCATATAATGGGGGTTTCCTGGGTGGATACATAGCTCAGCCAAAATCCAAATGCCATTAGTGAGCTTCAGGGATTGGTACACCATGTCCTGCCCTTCCACATTACTCTTGGCAATAGTATAAACATTATTGTTTTGCAACTTGCTGGAAACAATGTCAGCATTTAAATGACATTCGTTAATCTAAAACTGAAGTTCATTTCATTGGGAATATCCTTCCCTGTTGCAAGAAAGACCTGGTGCTCCATTTTGCCATCTTCTAAAAAGCACACTGATTGGGGTGAGGTGGGGTGAGGTGACTGAAGTAGAAGACATCAATATTGTTTTTCACAGCCACCTGCAGGTTATTCAGTCATCTTCATGACTAGGCCCAAGGTATTGAGAGGCAGGGAGACATCAATGTTCTGGTTTGGCATCAGTGGTGTATGGATGGCCAGAGGAGTGCTATTCTTGTTAAACTAGATTACAAAATCTGTCATATGCTGCAGAGCTGTATTGGTGAAGTTCATTTCCATATAGATGTGCCCTTGGTGGTGACTCAATGTTCCTGAAATCTCTAAGCCTTTATCCTGTAATGCAGGTAGCCAGAAATAGCCTTAGGAGCCACATACCCACCAGGTGCCATGCCTATCCCTGTGGAGAGTTCAAACAGGTCATTCAGTCCACTGCTGACCACAGCAGGTGTAGATGAAGAAACAAAGGTTGCAGACACCCATCATAGGATGAAGGATTGTCCCACCAGACTATCTTATCCTCCTCCCAAGAGATCCACTGCTCCCATCTGCATGGAGGACACCTGTGGCACATTGACTGGTTGACTGAGGTCAAGGTTTAAAAGACCCCTGAGAAGATTACCTTATGAGGGGATAACCTGAGGCTGTTTCAGGTTAGTTGCAGTGGTACCAACAGGGCTGTCACCTGAATCAGTACTCCCATGATGAATTGGCAACTATTTACAATGGATTCCATGACTTCCTTCCACAAAAATATTTGGAGGCTTATGATACACAGAGGCCAAAGAACCAATGTGGCACATGAGCTCTCCAGTAGAGTTAGCTCAATAAGATCTGTCTCCTCAGAGATCAGTGGCTTCTCAGACAAGACTACTTGTTTAGCTGTGACTGAGTCAGTTGAGAGAAGACACCAATAAATATAGCCCCCGTCTCAAAGGCCAGGATTATCAGAATTCTGTACTACACACTCTTAAACAACAAGTGGATCAAAAAAGAAATCATAAGGGTAATTATAGAATATCTCGAAACAGATGAAAATTACAGCATAACATACCAAAGCTTACGGGATGCAGCAAACACAGTGTTATGAGAAAAATTTATAGCTGTAAATAAATGCTTATATTAAAAAGGAGGAAAGATCTCACATCAATAAGCCTAACATTACACTTTAGCATACTAGAAATAGAAAAACAAACTAAACACAAAACTAGCTCAAAAAGGAAATAATAAAAATTAGAACAGAGATAAGCAAAATCAATAATAGAAAAACAATAGAAATAATAAAGGCAAGAGTTGGTTCTTAGGAAAGTTCAACAAAATTGACAAACTTTTAGCTAGATGGACTAAGAAAAAGAGAAGATTCAAAAAAGTAACATCAGAAATGAAAGAGAGGACATTACTACTATTTCTAAAGATACAAAAATATTACAAGAGTACTAAGATAAATTGCACTCCAAAAAATTTAATAGTCTAGATGAAATAGACATGTTCCTAGAAAAGCAAAACCTACCAACACTGAATCATGAAAAAGTAGAATATCTGAATAGACCTATAACTAATAAGGAGATTAAATCAATAATCAACAACCTCCCAGCAAAGTAAAGCCCAGGACTAGATAGCTTAACAGGGAACTTTTCTCAAACATTTAAAGAAGAATTAACATCCATCCTCCTCAAACTTTTCTGAAAATTTGAAGAGGAGAGAACACTTTCAAGCCCACTCTGAGTAAAGTATTAAACTGATAACAAAGCCTAACCAAGAAAATACAGAAAAATAAATCTGTAGATGAATATCATGATAAATGAGTTACTCACCAAAAATGTATTAGCAAATTAAATTCAATAGCTCATTTAAAATATTATACACCATTACCAGTGGGATTTATTCCTGGAATGTAAGCATGGCTTAATATATAAAAATCAATCAATGTAATACATTAAGAGAGTGAAGGGGAAACTAAACCACAAATCATCTCAATTGATGCAAAAAAATTGACAAGATGATAAGATTCAACACTACTACGTGACCAATCAACCAACTAGGAATAGAAGGAAATCACTTCAACATAATAAAGGCCATGTATGAAAAACCCAGCTAACCTCATACACAATGGTGAAAAACTGAAAGCCCATTCAGTATGATATTGGCTGTGGGTTTGTCATAGATAGCTCTTATTATTTTGAGATACGTCCCATCAATACCTAATTTATTGAGAGTTTTTAGCATGAAGGGTTGTTGAATTTTGTTGAAGGCCTTTTCTGCATCTATTGAGATAGTCATATGGTTTTTGTCTTTGGTTCTGTTTGTATGCTGGATTACATTTATTGATTTGCATATACTGAACCAGCCTTGCATCCCAGGGATGAAACCCACTTGATCATGGTGGATAAGCTTTTTGATGTGCTGCTGGATTTGCTTTGCCAGTATTTTATTGAGGATTTTTGCATCAATGTTCATCAAGGATATTGGTCTAAAATTCTCTTTTTTGGTTGTGTCTCTGCCAGGCTTTGGTATCAGGATGATGCTGGCCTCATAAAATGAGTTAGGGAGGATTCCCTCTTTTTCCATTGATTGGAATAGTTTCAGAAGGAATGGTACCAGTTCCTCCTTGTACCTCTGGTAGAATTCGGCTGTGAATCCTTCTGGTCCTGGACTCTTTTTGGTTGGTAAGCTATTGATTATTGCCACAATTTCAGAGCCTGTTATTGGTCTATTCAGAGATTCAGCTTCTTCCTAGTTTAGTCTTGGGAGGGTGTATGTGTCAAGGAATTTATCCATTTCTTCTAGATTTTCTAGTTTATTTGCGTAGAGGTGTTTGTAGTATTCTCTGATGGTAGTTTGTATTTCTGTGGGATTGGTGGTGATATCCCCTTTATCTTTTTTTATTGCGTCTATTTGATTCGTCTCTCTTTTCTTCTTTACTAGTCTTGCTAGCAGTCTATCAATTTTGTTGATCCTTTCAAAAAACCAGCTCCTGGATTCATTAATTTTTTGAAGGGTTTTTTGTGTCTCTATTTCCTTCAGTTCTGCTCTGATTTTAGTTATTTCTTGCCTTCTGCTAGCTTTTGAATGTGTTTGCTCTTGCTTTTCTAGTTCTTTTAATTGTGATGTTAGGGTGTCAATTTTGGATCTTTCCTGCTTTCTCTTGTGGGCATTTAGTGCTATAAATTTCCCTCTACACCCTGCTTTGAATGCGTCCCAGAGATTCTGGTATGTTGTGTCTTTGTTCTCATTGGTTTCAAAGAACATCTTTATTTCTGCCTTCATTTCGTTATGTACCCAGTAGTCATTCAGGAGTAGGTTGTTCAGTTTCCATGTAGTTGAGCAGTTTTGAGTGAGATTCTTAATCCTGAGTTCTAGTTTGATTGCACTGTGGTCTGAGAGATAGTTTGTTATAATTTCTGTTCTTTTACATTTGCTGAGGAGAGCTTTACTTCCAACTGTGTGGTCAATTTTGGAATAGGTGTGGTGTGGTGCTGAAAAAATGTATATTCTGTTGATTTGGGGTGGAGAGTTCTGTAGATGTCTATTAGGTCCGCTTGGTGCAGAGCTGAGTTCAATTCCTGGGTATCCTTGTTGACTTTCTGCCTCGTTGATCTGTCTAATGTTGACAGTGGGGTGTTAAAGTCTCCCATTATTAATGTGTGGGAGTCTAAGTCTCTTTGTAGGTCACTCAGGACTTGCTTTATGAATCTGGGTGCTCCTGTATTGGGTGCATATATATTTAGGATAGTTAGCTCTTCTTGTTGAATTGATCCCTTTACCATTATGTAATGGCCTTCTTTGTCTCTTTTGATCTTTGTTGGTTTAAAGTCTGTTTTATCAGAGACTAGGATTGCAACCCCTGCCTTTTTTTGTTTTCCATTTGCTTGGTAGATCTTCCTCCCTCCTTTTATTTTGAGCCTATGTGTGTCTCTGCATGTGAGATGGGTTTCCTGAATACAGCCCACTGATGGGTCTTGTATCTTTATCCAATTTGCCAGCCTGTGTCTTTTAATTGGAGCATTTAGTCCATTTACATTTAAAGTTAATATTGTTATGTGTGAATTTGATCCTGTCATTATGATGTTAGCTGGTTATTTTGCTCATTAGTTGATGCAGTTTCTTCCTAGTCTCAAAGGTCTTTACATTTTGGCATGATTTTGCAGTGGCTGGTACCGGTTGTTCCTTGCCATGTTTAGCGCTTCCTTCAGGAGCTCTTTTAGGGCAGGCCTGGTGGTGACAAAATCTCTCAGCATTTGCTTGTCTGTAAAGTATTTTATTTCTCCTTCATTTATGAAGCTTAGTTTGGCTGGATATGAAATTCTAGGTTGACAATTCTTTTCTTTAAGAATGTTGAATATTGGCCCCCACTCTCTTCTGGCTTGTAGAGTTTCTGCCAAGAGATCCGCTGTTAGTCTGATGGGCTTCCCTCTGAGGGTAACCCGGCCTTTCTCTCTGGCTGCCCTTAACATTTTTTCCTTCATTTCAACTTTGGTGAATCTGACAATTATGTGTCTTGGAGTTGCTCTTCTCGAGGAGTATCTTTGTGGCGTTCTCTGTATTTCCTGAATCTGAATGTTGGCCTGCCTTGCTAGATTGGGGAAGTTCTCCTGGATAATATCCTGCAGAGTGTTTTCCAACTTGGTTCCATTCTCCCCATCACTTTCAGGTACACCAATCAGATGTAGATTTGGTCTTTTCACATAGTCCCATATTTCTTGGAGGCTTTGCTCGTTTCTTTTTATTCTTTTTTCTCTAAACTTCCCTTCTCGCTTCATTTCATTCATTTCATCTTCCATCGCTGATACCCTTTCTTCCAGTTGATTGCATCGGCTCCTGAGGCTTCTGCATTCTTCACGTAGTTCTCGAGCCTTGGTTTTCAGCTCCATCAACTCCTTTAAGCACTTCTCTGTATTGGTTATTCTAGTTATACGTTCTTCTAAATTTTTTTCAAAGTTTTCAACTTCTTTGCCTTTGGTTTGAATGTCCTCCTGTAGCTCGGAGTAATTTGATTGTCTGAAGCCTTCTTCTCTCAGCTCGTCAAAGTCATTCTCCATCCAGCTTTGTTCCGTTGCTGGTGAGGACCTGCGTTCCTTTGGAGGAGGAGAGGCGCTCTGCTTTTTTAGAGTTTCCAGTTTTTCTGCTCTGTTTTTTCCCCATCTTTGTGGTTTTATCTACTTTTGGTCTTTGATGATGGTGATGTACAGATGGGTTTTTGGTGTGGATGTCCTTTATGTTTGTTAGTTTTCCTTCTAACAGACAGGACCCTCAGCTGCAGGTCTGTTGGAGTACCTGGCTGTGTGAGGTGTCAGTCTGCCCCTGCTGGGGGGTGCCTCCCAGTTAGGCTGCTCCGGGGTCAGGGGTCAGGGACCCACTTGAGGAGGCAGTCTGCCCATTCTCAGATCTCCAGCTGCGTGCTGGGAGAACCACTGCTCTCTTCAAAGCTCAGATGGAAATGCAGAAATCACCTGTCTTCTGCGTCGCTCACCCTGGGAGCTGTAGACCGGAGCTGCTCCTATTCGGCCATCTTGGCTCCTCCCCCAAGTACTGAATTTCAAAATTTAATTACTATTTTTTTAAAAAAAGAACTACCAACTAAAAAAGCCCCAGAGCAGATACATTCACAGCCAAATTCTACCAGATGCACAAAGAAGAGCTGGTACCAATTCTAAAATTATTCCAAAAAGAAATTAAGAGAAAGAACTCCTTCTTAACACATTCTATGATGCCAACATCACTATAATAAAAAATCTGGCAAAGTCTCAACCATAAAAGGAAACTACAGGCCAGCATCCTTGATGAATATAGACCCAAAAATCTTTAACAAACTATTAGCAAACCAAATCCAGCAGCACATCAAAATGTTAATTCACCATGATCAAGTAGGCGTTATTCTTGGAATGAAAGTTTGGTTGAACATATGCAAATTGATAAATGTGATTCACTACATAAATAAAATTAAAAGCAGAAAGTGTATAACCATCTCAATATGTACAGAAAAGTGTTTTGATAAAATACAATATCCCTTCATGATAAAACACCTCACCAGACTAGGCATTGAAAGAACACAACAAACAATAAGAGCCATCTATGACAAACACATAGCCAACATCATACTGAATAGGCAAATGCTGGGGGCATTCCAGTTAAGAACAGGCTCAAGCCGAGGTTGTTCCACACAGTACTGGAAGTCCTAGTCAGAGCAATCAGGCAAGAGAAACAAATAAAAAGCATCTAAATAGGAAAAGAAAAGGTAAAATTATCTGTCTTCACAGAGATATGATTCTACACCTAGAAAATTCTGAAGACTTAGGTAAAAGGCTCCTAGGACAGATAAATGACTTCAGTAAAATTTTAGGACACAAAATCAATGTGTAAAAATCAGTAGCACTTCTGTCTACAATAATATTTAAGCTGAGAGCCAAATCAAGAATGCAATCCCATTTATAATTGCCACAAACAAAAATAAAAAGGAATATATCTATCCAAAAAAGGTGAAAGATCTCTACAATGAGAATTTAAAAACACTGCTAACATAAATCAAAGATGAAAACAAACAAATGGAAAAATATTACATGCTCATGGATAGGAAAAATCAATATTATTATAATGGTCATACTGCCCAAAGCAATCTATAGATTTAATGTTATTCCTATCAAATTACCAAAGTCATTTTTCACAGACATAGAATAAACTGCTCTAAAATTCATATGGAACTAAAAAGAGCCTGAATAGTCAAAGTACTCCGAAGCAAAAAGAACAAAGCGAGATGCATCACATTATCAGACTTCAAACTATATTCTAAGGTTACTGTAACCTCAACAGCATGATATTGGTACAAAAACAGTCACACAGATTAAGAGGAAACAGAAATAAAGCCTTTCACCTGCAAACATCTGATATTTGACAAAGCCAGCAAAAATAAGCAATGAGGAAAGGACATATTATTCAATAAATGGAGCTGGGATAACTTTTAAGCCATATGCAGAAGATTGAAACTGGACTCCTACTTTTCACCATATAAAAACATCAATTCAGTATGGATTAAAGATTTAAATATGATAGCTAAAACCATAAAAATCCTAGAAGAAAACTTAGAAAATGCCCTTCTTGACACTGGCCTTAGCCCAAAAGTTTATGGCTAGGTCCTCAAAAGTAATTGCAAAAAAACAAAAATTTGCAAGTGGAATCTAATTAAAATAAAGAGATTCTGAACATTAAAAGAAATTATTAAGAGTATACAGACAACCTATAGAATGAGAGAAAATATTCTCAAACTATGCACAAGATAAAGGTCTAGTTCCAGAATTTATATGGAACTGAAACAATTCAACAAGCAAAAACAAATAACACCCTTTAAAAGTGGGCAAAAACATACACAGACATTTCTCAAAAGAAGACAAACATTAGTGGCCAAAAAACATGAAAAAATTCTCAACATAACTAATCCTTAGAGAAATGTAAATCAAAACCACAATAAGATACTATCTCACCCCAGTAAGTATGGCTATTGCTTTTTGAGTTTTTGTTTGTTTGTTTTGTTTTGAGTTGGAGTCTCACTCTGTCACCAGGGATGGAATGCAGTGACACGATCTTGGCTCACTACAGCCTCCACCTCCTGCGTTCAAGCAATTCTCCCACCTTAGCCTCCGAAGTAGCTGAGATTACAGGTGTGTGTCATTACGCCCAGCTATTTTGTATTTTTAGTAGAGATGGGGTTTCACCGTGTTGATCAGGCTGGTCTAGAACTCCTGACCTCAAGTGATCTCCCTGCCTTGGCCTCCGAAAGTAGTATGGTTATTGTTAAAAAGTCAAAAAATAATAGATGACAAGGTTGTGGAAATAAGGGAATGCTTATACACTGTTGGTAGAAATGTGAATTAGTTCAGTCACTGAAGAAAGCAGTTTGAAGATTTCTAATAACTTAAAACAGAGCTACCATTCAACTCATCCATCCCATTGCTAGATTTATACCCAAAGGAAAGTTAATCATTCTACCCCAAAGATGCAGGTACTATTACATTTATGTCACCACTAGTCACAATAGCAAGGACATGGAATCAATCTAGGTGCCCATCCACAGTAGACTGAATAAAGAAAATGTGGTTCATGTACACTGTGGAATACTATGCAGCCATAAAAATTAATAAAATCATGGTCTCTGCAACAACATGGATACCACTGGAGGGCATTATCCAGCAAATTAATTTGGGAACAAAAACCAAATACCACATGTTCTTACTTGTAAGTGGGAGCTAAGCATTGGGTACACATGGACATAAAGATAATACTCAATGGGGACTACTCAAGGAGAGAGTAGGAAAGGGGCAAAAGGGCTATAAATTTAGGTACTATGGTCACTCCCTGGGTGATAGGATAATTTGTGCCCCAAACCTTAGTGTCATGAGATGACATGTAACAAATCTGCACATGTACCCCCAACTCTAAAATTAAATTTGAAAGTATAAAAAATTATAACCTCCATTGTTGGATTGATAACATATACATATATAATAGTCATAGCAATAATAGCATAAAGAAGTCAGATTTGGTGCAATATTTCTATATTTTTTTCTAAGAGCCAGTTAGTACACAGTGTATGATAAGTCAAAGATGCATATTTTAATTTCTAAATGAAACACTTTAATCAATGTGAAGAAATTGGTATTAATTTTGCAAAGAAATTGATTGTGGTAATAGTTATGTGACATTTGTCAAAACTCACTTTTTAAGGGTAGATTTTATTGTATGTAAATTACATCAGTGAAGCTGATTTTAAAAATGAAAAATGAGCTTTCCCAGACTTTTTCTACAAAAAAAAGGAGGTCTTATTTGAATACAAACAATCTTAGGAACAACTCAAAATTGGTTAAAACTGGGAAGATGTAGGAAGCTGTGATAGTTAAACAAACTCAGAATAGAAAAAAGACAATGTTTTCCCTCCAAACTAAACTGTGTACTAATAAACAGCATGTTGAAGTGAGAACATTTTTAAAAATAATGGTTGAAATATGAGAATTTTAAATAAAATATAGTTTTAATTTTAATCAAATATCAGAATGTCATAGAACTTCTCTTTCTCATTGAACGTACAATTTGTGTGAAATGATGGCAAAAGTTTGTCAAAGGCATCAAGGAGAGTGAAAATGTTAATGCTTTGACCTCTGCAATAACACTAAAGATTCTAATCTGAAGGTACAGCTTTCACATATCAATCTGAATTTAGCAACAGGATCAACTAAATAATTTAGTAAATGCAATGCTTTTTAATTCAACATTTTCCAAAAGCAGTACACATGGTTTTGTTAAGGGAAGTCACCAAATGGTAAAAATATCAGGCTCCTGCCATGAGTGCATTTTTCCTCAATTCAGTAGATATACATAGCACAGGTTTTTTTTCAGAGGTATTTTATTGTTTTTCTACTTTTCATCAGGGTTCTGTTGCCATGGCAATAAAGTAGGCTATCTTGTTGGATTTCACCTTTACTGTCTTGCTTCATATGGTTCTCTCTGCTCAGAGCAAACATGGTGGGTACTGCACACATACAAATGTCTGATTTCGTATTTCCTTCTTGAGAGTGCTTGGCAGCTCGTCTCCTGAGACAGCTGAAACAGCACTTCACAAAGTGGCATTCATCCTTCTCTCTAATGGCTTCCATCATATGTCTCACTTGTTTTGTGATCTCTCTTTTAAGAAGGACACAGCTCCTCTTGAAAAATTTATTTTTCCCATTGAAACAGAGGTCTTTTAACATTTCAATTAACTTGGTTGTCAGAGCAAATCTAAATACATTCCCTGTTTAATGTTACCCATTGTTAAGGTGTGAAATAAAAAAGGAAACTCAAAAGAGCATATAGGCTCACCACAAATACAAATGAACAGATTTATTCAGTGCACAAACACTTTAACTTTTAGCCTCTTCTCTTTTACCTATAGCAATTACCAATTCTTTCAACTATCTAAATGTAAATCATGACTCCTGTCAAGGGCTATTTTAGTCTTTGAACAGGGCAAAACAGCATGCATTAAATATTTGTTGAAGAGACGAATAAAAAAACACTTAAGTAGAGGACACACATGCACATATACACACACATACCAAATATTGTTGAATTAAAGCCAGAAAGAAACTCTAACAGGGATTAAACATTGTGCTTATTAGATATAGGGAGTCCTTCCACACCACCAGGATTTTCCCTTCTGCCAAAAACAAATATTTCCCCCCATATTTCCTACCTATTTTTGATTTCCTAAGTTTAATGTTAACATATTTATTTGCATCTTATAGCCAGTGTTCTTCAATAATATTTATTCATCAGGTTTTTTGGCTTGTAATTATTTCTAAATTAAATTTTTAGTCCTATTACTTACAGATTAAAATATAACTTTTATGCATCATTCATAAGACAGATTTCTATGAACTTAAGCAAAGTTTACAAAGAGAAAATGGTAATTTTTTAAGATTTCATAATTCTGAATTTTGTTTAATTTTGTGGTGGTAGTCAGCATTGTCTAGATAATTCTTACCACATTATTATTATTAATCTCACACTTTAAACATTTTTCTGTCTTAAAAATTGATGACTTATTTAAGCGGTCCATTTTGCATCCAGGTGCATAGAATGTTCATCCCATATTTTCTAAACAATCAATATTATGTATTATGGGACTATCATTAGTTCTTGTTGGCAGTGCTATTTTTTTTCTGTCTGTCAGGATTTCCCTATCCTTTTTTGTCTAGTTCCTTTGCAGAATCACTTCACTGACTTCACCGTTTCTGAAGCATCCATCCATTATAGTACTCATTTCCAATTCCAGGAACAGTCCTCTGTCCCCGGTTGGCCAGAGATACCATCCCTTCTCCCGAGTGACTACTTCAGGAATGACTATATTACCCCTTTATAGACAAGGGGTTCTTAGAGGAGAAATCTCTGCATAGACAATGCAGATATGAAGTAGTTAGCCATCTTGCTCACAATATGAAGTTCTTCTCTATAGAATAATGCCACATAGAGACAAGCTGAGCCGAGAGAGAGAAAGACATGGAGGTGACTATACGTATATCTAAAAACAGCTTTTTAAATAACTGTTTCAGTTATATGTCCTAATATAGACCACTTTTCTTAAGCTCAGGTAATACATCACTTCAGAGAGCCCTTCCCTGCCTTCAGTAAATAAACTTTTAGTTATTCTTTTACTGCATACTTTTATAACAAGCATAACACTCTGATCTGAATTCTCTAATTTATTTATTTTATTTTTATAGTCTCTTTCCCCCGGTAAAACATAAGCTCCACTTTGGCAGAATCTTTGCTAGCAACATGCCTGGCTTTCAATAAACTGTTGTTAAATGGATAAATGAATGAATAAAGCTTGTTTGAGGGGAGTTTCTGTAAATAGAAACTGAAACAACCTGACTAATGCATACTTTGTTTTTCTAGGTTGCAGCAATAATATAAAAATCTAGGTATGGTTGATTATATTTTATTAACTTTTTGCATTACTTTTTCTTCATATCATTATGGCTTTTGTCTAATTTTTTTCCCTCAAATGGATTTTCAAAAGAGTCTTCCAGCAGCATTTTCTCTACCTTAGCTTAACCCTTTATTTTGGTCTTCATACAGTCACCAGAGTAATATTTATGAGAAAAAAATGATTATGTTAACTCTGCATGCTCTGATTTTCAGCAGAAATCCTCCAATCTCAGATGCTTCAGACAAAACCATATCTCCTCTGGCTTCCACATATCCATGGACAGGAATTAAGAGGGATCCAAGAGCTCTATGTACTTCTAATTAAATCTTTTCTCCTGCAAACTCCACATCCCCTCTAGCAAGAGTGAGAAACATGGAACTCCATGCTTCTGGCAAGACTCACACCCTCCCTTTCCAATATTCACACCTCACCTCTACCTGATTTGAGACCACCATTTTATTTTGCCCTTTATCCATTTTCAAATCAGTTATCACAGGACATTCTGAACACTTAGTTCACACTTTTCTCTAGATTCTAAACAACGTGATGGCTCCATAAGCAGAAGTGCAACACTCTCATTCTATCCCCACCCCCATCAATCTTTAAATCACTTTCCTGCTCTAGTTTTAGTCTTAGAATCTACATATATCATATACTGTCTTTCCCAACAAGAATGAATATAAATTTCCCTGTCGTTGCTTCCTAATTTCTCTAATCCTTCCATTATCTTCTTATAGTCTAGTATAGACACCAGACTCAGACCTGGCCAAACATAGTACTTCATTCTCCTTCCCGTAAGAGATGGCTATGTATGGTTTGCCTGCCAAAGATGCCTCTGTTCTAATTCCTGAAGCCCATTAATATATTGTTCAGTGTGGCAGAGGGGAAATAAGGTAACAGATGGAATTAAGCTTGCTAATACCTTAATCTTAAAATAGGGAGATTACCCTGGATTTTCCAGGTGGGCCCAGTGTAATTGCAAGGGTCCTTAAACATGAAAAAAGGATACAGAAGAGTTTGATCCATGAAATGTGAGTATGGCTTTGAAGATGACTGAGGCATCATAAGCCAAGGAATATGGCAGGCTATGGCAGCTGGAAAATGCAAGGAAACAGATCCTCCAGAAAGAAATGGAGCCCTCCTGACACCTTGACTTTAGACCAATGAGACCCATTTAAAACTTCTGACCTCCAGAATTGTACATAATATGTGTGTCTTGTTTTAAGCCACTAAGTTTTTGGTAATTTGTTAAAGCAATTTCTTAGTCCATTTGCTTTGCTATAATAAAAAGTACCTTATTTGTACCTTATAAGCTAAAGTATATATCATATTATGTTATAAACAAGAAAAAATGTATTTCTCACAGTTCTGGGGGCTGGAAAGTCCAAGATAAAGGTGCTGGCTTTGACACTGACTCAGTGTCTGGTGAAGGCCCACTTCCTTATAGATGGCACCTTCTTGCTGTATTCTCACACGGTGAAAGAGGCTAGCGAGCTCTCTGGGGTCTCTTTCATAAGAACACTAATCCCATTCATGAAGGCTGTGCCCTCATGACCTCATCACATCTCAAATTTCTCACCTCTTAATATTATCACCTTTGGGGTTACGTTCAACATATAAAGTTTGGGAGGATAAAAAAATCAGACCATAGCAAGCAGCAATAGGAAACTAATACATCGTGTGGCCCAAAAGGGCCAGTGTTTCATGAAAATATTTGTCATATTGATATGTTGATAATGTAAGAGAGGAGAACTCTTTTCAGCAGGATCCCAAGACGTAAGAACCTACAGGGCTGAAGCCACCAGGAACCTCTTTCCACCACAGGAAAAAAAATAAAATAAAAAAAACAACTTATCCAAGAATTTAACCCACACAAGGATGTCACATACAAGAGAACAAGCTCTGAGTATACATTTTGTGTATACTGGACTTTTTCAATTACATGAGTCAATGCATTCTTTTTTATCTTAAGCTAGTTTGACTCACATTTTTGCCACTTTAACACACAAAAAAATTATTAAGGTATATGTAATCTTATACTTCCTTGACTATGCCTTTTATCTCCTAAAACATTTCTACATATACATAAAGATTTTGCTTGACTCTCCTCTCTTAGTAAGGTTTCCCTGACTCTTCCAAGTAGATTTATCACTACTCTGTGCATACAATATAGCTACATTATTAAACTTACTATATCTTACAATGATTTTAGTGAGAAAATGAGCTAAGATTGTCCTTACACCCCCTGCTATGCCTTCACCCCTGATGAGGAAAGAAGATTTGAACATGGGTCTTAGTCACAAGAATGTTTTCTAAAATAAGCCAGAGAAAAAAAGAATAAATTAACAGTATAAGGCCAGAATATTAGTTCATAAGAAATAAAGCCAATGTCATATTAATCAGAGGAATATATATTTTTCAATGAAAGAAAATGAAATGAAATGTTTGGAAAGGAGTTTTGCCCACCCTTGAGTAGATATGTTTGATTATTTTATACATCAGTGTAAAATCAGTATCAATATCAGCCAAATAACTTATCTTACTTGTCCTCTTGATAATTCTCTTCACTCTTAACATTATAGTTCAGAGCATGTACACATGTATGCATGCAAATGCACACACACACACACACACACACAAACACAGTGCCTTTCCTGATAAACCAGTGGACTGAAATAATACTCTTTTCCTCTGGAATAACGTGAAAAGACATTGAGGTATTTTTTAGTTTGTTGGTTTTGTTTTTCCCAAGAGTTTTCAGTATATGGGAAAGGAAAAAATGTTACATAAAATAGTATAAGACGGTAGGAAACTCAGTTTCTTTCAATGTCCTTGACCACCAGGCCTAGGCAGCGAGGTTCTATACTTTCACATTACGACAAAGTAGCTGTCTCAGAGACATCATACCCAATGTCCTACCACCCCTCATATCCACTCTGTGTAGTCTTTAAACAACCATCGAAATTTCAAATTCCTTTAATAAATAACAACTTAAATCTTCAAAAGTATCAGGGTCATATTATTTTTAGAAAAAGAGAGTTTAGAACAATATTAGATCAGTAATGTAAAGTATATTCACATTATTGTGCTATAGATATTCAGAACTTTTCATCTTGCAAAATGGAAACTCTATACCTGTTTAACAATTTCATTTCCTCATCCCCCCAGCCCCTTGCAATTACCTGGGCCCACCTGGAAAATCCAGGATAATCTCCCTATTTTAAGATTAAGGTATTAGCAAGCTTAATTCCATCTGTTACCTTATTTCCCCTTTGCCACATTGAACAATATATTAATGGGCTCCAGGAGTTAGAACAGAGGCATGTTTGGCAGGCAAACCATACATAGCCATCTCTTACGGGAAGGAGAGTGAAGTACTATGTTTGGCCAGGTCTGAGTCTGGTGTCTATACTAGACTAGAAGATAATGGAAGGATTAGAGAAATTAGGAAGCAATGATAGGGAAATGGCAACCACCATTTTACTTTATATTTCTATGAGTTTGACTATGTTAGATACTTCTGTTGTGGTTTGAATGTGTCTCCTAAAGTTCCAGTGCAACAGTGATGGGAACTGGGGCCAAATAAGAGGTGATTAGGTCGTCAGGGCTCTGCCTTCATGAATGGATTAATGTCATTATGTTGGGAATGGTTTAGTATCATGACAGTGAGTTTTCTATAAAAGTGAGTTTGGCCCCGTCTTGCCCTTGCTTGAGCTCTCTTGCCCTTCCGCCTTCCACCATGAGATGATGCAACATCTTGCCACATATAGATTCCTCAATCTTGTAATTCCCAGTCTTCAGAACTATAAAAAATAAATATCTTTTATTTATAAATTACTTAGTCTCAGGTATTGTTATAGCAACACAAAACAGACTAAGATGATCATATATTATCATATATATTATATATATAATAAATATATACATATTTAAAAACCAGCAATGTTTGAAAGAGTAAGAGAATCCCTCTACTCCTTGTAAAATCAGATAGTAGCAGTAGCACTACCATCACTGTAAAGTATGGGACGCAGGGAGTATCTATGGGTGGCTGGCAGACATCAAGGGATAGTATGTACCTAACCTACTGGTGAAGGAACAGCTGGAGAGGTACTTGGTTCAATGGGATTTTAAACTCTTCCTCTCTATATCCATAAAGAATATTTGTAGATAAGTCTTAGCAAAGGAAAGAGAATAGTCCTAGCACCCAGAGATATTGGTTTACATCTCTAACTCTCCTAAAGACTACAGGCTCCTTGAGAAAAGAAAAACAAAAAACAAAAAAACTGAGTTTATTTACCTTAGAGATGGAACCAGTTGGTAGAGAACCTTAGATTAAGTGTTACACACACACAGGGAGAGAGAGAGAGAGAGAGACCAAACAGGTTTAGAAAATAACGTTCAATTCCTCAAATTAGTAACAAGCATAGCCAGAACTAAAACTCTCATTTTCAAGTTCCTTGTCATAGTCTGTCATTGTTTACTGTCTCTTTCCAAATTATCACTTGGTGAGTAACAGAAGATATTTTCAAGTCTCTCATAAGATTTGTACTGAGACTTAAGGTTAAGAATATTCTTATTTCTTTTCACTTCCTTGGCAAGTTTATATTTAACGGATATAAGAAGCTTTATTCATAAAAGTAGACTACATTTCATGTGTTCTTCCTGTAAAATATGCATGTAACCTGTTCCATTCTTGCAGTTTCTACTGTATATTCTGTAAAATTAATAAAATTACTGAATCTATATTTTACAAATATCATTGCCACACTTATTGTCTAATAGTATTTAATATTATATTGCTTGTTAATCAGTATTAAAAATGATTAAAATAAATTTATTCTTGTTTTAACAGTATTAGTTTACATTTTGCCTGGCATACCCCAAAGCTCCTATTGTACTTTTCTAGGAAGATATTACCTTCAGTATGGAAGGGGGTAGTGAATGTATTACTAAATAATGCCAAAACATTTGTGGATAGAAAATTCCCATTGATAGAACAAAACCTTGATATTATCTCTAAAAGTAAGTACTGAAAATAAAGTTAAAAAAACAAATACAAATAGTATTCAAATAAAAATTGGCAGGGTTTAATAAGAAAAGTAGTGAGGTAGTTTCTATAAATAAAGAGCTCATTATGGAACAAACATAAATTAACAATAAGTACAAAATATTAAATAAATATTCTGAGAACAGAAGATTAGGATGCAAAGATTTTCCAAAATAATAGATTGACTCAAGATGACAAAGTGTACAAATGCTGCAAAATGCCTATGCATCCAAGATTACATGAAAGAAGAAAAAAGATTTCATATATTTTATAAAATATATAAATAAGAGAGGATATATATATATATTTCATATATATTCATGCATGTATTTTCTATACCAAACATATACACACACAATGGAGAATAAATCCATAATAGACAAGAAAAAAATTTAAAGTGCCATTATAGCCCAAATGTTATGAGCAATACCTGAAAGATATAAAGTAAGTAGGATCAGATCCAAAGAAAAGCAAGAGAAAAAAAAGCATTGCAAAACAGATTCTGAAGCAGACTGTTGCAAAGGTAAAGGCATTTTAGGTTCTGAAGAATGAAGCAAAGTTAATGAAGCAAGCAGAAGAGTTTAGATAAAGCATTACTGATACATTCAGAAACAGCTAAGGGGATATTGCAGCTATGAAAAATTTATTAGAAGTCTTGGCATTTAAAAGTTGATCACCTATGCTGGAAACAATAGTCTAAATAGCCTAATGGGCATGGTTGAAGTGTAAATTACTGGGCTAGAAATCTACCAAGGGATTATCTCAGACTACAGAGATAAATGCAAATGAGAGGGAAAGTATAAGTGATGAGAAATGAAGTACAGATCCATAGGTTCCAATATCTCTCTAAAATGAGTTCCAGAAGGAGAAGAGGAATACATGGAATAGAGTAAAAAATAATAATAATATAGTAAAAAATAACACTTCCATTAACAAAATGGAATGAGTTTATAGTTTAGAAAACATGTGAAGCAATGGTGAAATCTCAGAACATCAAATGTTAATGTTAATTGTGTTTTCCCAAAAATTCATGTGTTGAAGTCCTAATGCCCAGTACTCTAGAATGTGACTGTATTTGAAAATGTGGTTTTGAATAAGTTATTAAATTAAAATGAAGCCATAACAGTAGACCCTAATTGAATCCGACTGGTGTTCTTCTAAAAACAGAAGATTAGGATGCAAAAAAAGACGTCAGGGATGGTCCCTCACAAAATAAAGGCAATGTGAGGACACAGTGAGAAGGCAGCCATCTGTGAGACAAGGAGAGAGGGTTCAGAAAAATCAAACCCGCCCACAACTGGATCTTGGACTTCTGGCCTCTAGAACTGTGAGAAAATAAATTTCTGTTATTTTAGCCACCAACTCTGTGGTATTTTATTATGGTAGCCCTGGCAAACGAATACACCAACAACTAAAATATTATTCTAAAAACATCTTGTAAGAAAACACAAGCAATCTAACAAAAAAATCAGCTTAATATTATATTTCATTTAAACATGACTTCTACCTTTATTGTTATCAATTAAGGATTTTTTTTTTCCTAATAGCATCCATATGTGTTTACTGGTGTCTATTCTCCTCATCCACCTGTAGTCAATTCCTTACTATGCAGGCAAAATTATCTTGTGCAAATAA